>NC_000004.12:92254714-92557744 GCF_000001405.40 Homo sapiens
CCCTAAGCCTCTGGCTGGAGTTGCTGAAGTTCCTGGAGGGATGGCCTGCCCAGGAGGCACGGGGCAGAGTTTGGCCTAAAGACGCAGTATGTCTACAATCTGCCACAGCCAGTGTGCTATCCTGTGGGGAATACCTCTTAAGTCCAAACCATTCAGTCTCCCTGGCATTGCAGGGGAAAAACAGCGGACTGAAGCTGCAGGGGTGGCTGCTGCCCTACCCCCACCGCCAGCAGTTCAGTCATCTTAGGCAGCAGGCAGCTGCAGTGATGGCTGCCGTCCCTTGCCTGGGGTGCTCAGTTTTCTAAGGCAGCAGGCAGCAGCAGTGATGATGGCCTCCCCTTCCCCTGGGAGCTCAGTAGTCTTAGGCAGTCTCCAGCCAAGTGGCTATTGAGAATCTGTGTGACTCTGTGGTTGGGACAGAATCCCTGGTGGGATGGGTTCATGAGTATGATCTCCCTATCCACGGGTTGCACAGATCCATTGAAAAAGCATGGTTTACCAAGCTGGGTAGCACAATCACTCACTGCCTCCCTTGGCTGGGGGTTGCGGCTCCCCTTGCCAGGTGTGGCTCTCAGGTGAGCCATCGCATCACCCCTCTTTTCTTTGCTCTCCATGGGTCATGTCAACCTACTAGTCAGTCCTGATGATAGAACATGGATACCTCAGTTGCCAGTGCAGGATTCACATGCTATTTTGGTTCTTCTTGGTGGGAACCTGTAATGGCAGCTGTTTATAGTAAGCCATTTGGCCCCCTATTTATATTTTTAAAATTATTTTTTTTGATTGTTGTCTGACTTATACTTTTTATACTTTTAAAATTCTTTTTCTCTTTATTGTTTTCAGACTGGGTTATTTCAAGAGACATGTCTTTAAGTTCTGATATTCTTCTGCTTCATCTAGCCTGTCTTTGAAGCTTTCAAATATATTTTGTATTTCATTCACGGAGTTCTTTATTCTAGAATTTCTGCTTGGTTCTTTGTTATGATATCTATCTCTTTGGTAAATTTATCATTCATATCTTGGATTCTTTTTCTGATTTCCTCATATTGTTTTTCAGAATTCTTTTTTATTTCACTGAGCTTTTGTATCATAATTTTGAATTCTTTTTTTGGAATTTCATGAATTTCTTTTATATTGTGATCTGTTGCTGGAATTATTATGTCCTTTTGTAGGTGTCACATTTTCTTGCTTTTTAATTTTTTTTTCAAATTTTCTTTTGTAGGTGGGTACTTTTTCCTGAAAATATATTAATAGTGTTGGTTGGGTAAGACCTTTTAGCTTTTATTCTGGGTGCATGAGACAGTGTAATCCCTGAATGATTTTTCAGCTGTGACAGCCTGAGTGGTATCTGTTATTTCCTCAGGTTGTTCAGGGTGCAGTTATTAGTGGAGGCTATGGTAAAATTTTGCGGCAAACAAGGATGCCAGGTAGGCCAGTTTTCAGACCCCCATGGTGGCAGCAGTGGGTAAACATGCCTGTTTTTGTGCTCCAGGGTAGAATACACTGTCATCAATGTTAATGGAATCAGATGGACTGATTCTTGAGCCTCCAGATAGCTTGCTCAGATGGCCTGAGTGGCAACATTCATCTAGGTAGGTGAGCAGATTCTTGGGTCCTGAGCAGTTTGCATGGTATATGGGTGATAGAAGCATGGTATATAGGTGATAGATAGCAGCAGCAGGATGATTCTCTTGGTCCTGAGTGGTGTACACTGGTGTTGGTGGTGACGTGGTAAGGGGTTGACACCCAGTCTCAGACATGCAGCTCCCAGGCTTGCCACTCTCAGTAGCAGCAGCACTGCACAGGGTGAGGACACCCATCTTTCATGGGACAGTCCATGCATGGAGGCCATACCACATGTGGGGGTACACTCACAACTAACAGCCCCAGAAAGGCAGCCATTCAGCTCTACTGCCCCAGCCTCCTGAGGTAGCAACAGCAGCTGTGCCTACAGAAGTGCAAGGAGCAGGAGAAGGGATTCCATTTTCCATGTGTCGGTCCAAGCGTAGAAGCCACTCTGCCAGTGGGAAGGGATATCACTCTGTTTGCAAGGCTGAGCACAGTTTGTGCCACTGCTTGGAGCAGGGTCACTTCTCACATCCCCAAACAGAAAGCTCTCAGCCCAGAAAGCACGTGCTTTTGTTTCCTTTGTCCTAAGTGGTGCTCCCTTTTTGGTGATCTGAACTATCCTTTTTTTCTGGAGAGTAGTACTCCCTGTGGGCTAGAATACTGGGGATTCCACAACACCTTTCGGTCCAGACAGCACGATGACACTGTAGCTCTTTGGGTAGGCACTAGGGGATGTCAGTGCGGGCTCCCAAGTTGTGGAGATATGGGAACTATGGTTCCCAGGGCAGGAAGCAGTCTTGTCATGGCTGTGTTCTCACATTGGTACCTTGCTGTAGCCACTTAGGTCTCAATGGGGTGAGTGACCCAGTGTGAGTTCCCTGTCTGGTTCAGTGCCCTCATGGGTTCTCCAAATCATTGCCTACACTAGTGTTTATGTGAGTACAGGACTTCTCCCATGGTTAGGATTGCAGCAGTCCATGCTGGAGATGTGGACTGCTGAAGTTCTCTCCCTTACCTTTTCCTTACAACACTGAGCACCCCTGGGCTCCCAGTTGATCCCGATCTCGACTGAGCTGACCACTCACTTTCTTCTTCTATGCCCCAGGTATTTCTTGTGGCTTTTCTGTTGGACTCTAGTGTTCGCTCCTAGATGTTCTGTTCCAGGTACAATTATCTATTCATAATTTTGATTCTTCCTTTTGGACAGGGTGGGTATTCAATGTCCCTAGTCACTCATCTTTAATATTTATTATATACAATATTATATAAAAATATAATATTTTTATGCACTTAAATTATCTGATGAAATTTTAATGCTATTCACTGCTAGTGGCCATACTTCTGCTTTTTCCAGTCTACCTTCAAATAATATTACTCTGCTTCATGTATCATCAAAGGACCTTGCAACATTTAATTTTATTTCCTCCGAACTGATTTTTGTGCTTTGTTGTTATACATTTTACTTACATCAGGGTTATAGACCTCAAAATAATTCATTTTACTTAATTATATTTCAAAGGTACTAAAAATTAAAATTTCAAAGTGTTTTATATTCATGCACATATTTACCATTCTAGACACTGTCATTCCTTGTGTAAATTCAATTTTCCATCTGGCTTCATTTTTCTTCATCTTCAGGGAGGAACTTCTTTTAACATTTCCTGTTATGTTCATCTGCTGACAACAAATTCTATCAGATTTTGTCAGATTTTGTCTGGAGAAAAGGTTTCAGTAAACCTGGATATAGAATTATAAGTGAACAAGTTTTTTGTGTTTTTTTCCCTTTCATCTTAGTTTAAGTGACTTTCCATTGTATCCTTCACATGCACATTGTTTTTTTTCTGATGAGTAGTCTGTGATAATTCACATTTTTTTAATTCTGTACACATAAATTTATTTTTCTTCTCTAAGGCATATACATCCTGTTGGATCAAAATCCATGTCTTTGTCCAATCTCTGAAAACAGCTCTGCCATATATTTAATCCTGTTTTCTAATTGTTTATCAGTGGAAGGGTATGTTAGGCTGTTCCTGTATTGCTATCAAAAATATATAGACTGGGTAATTTACAAAGAAAATACGTTTAATTGGCTCACAGTTCTGTAAGCTATACAGGAAGTGTGGTGGTGGCATTTGCTCAGCTTCTGGGGAGGCCTCAGGGAACTTCTACACATGGGAAAAGGTGAAGTGGGAGCAGGTACTTCACATGGTGAAAACAGGAACAAGAGAGGGAGTAGGGGGAAAGTGTCACACACTTTTAAATGACCAGATTTTCCAAGAACTGTCTATCACAAAGACTGTGCTAATCCATGAGAGACCCACCCTCATGATCCAAACACCTCCCACCAGGATACACTTCCAGTATTGGGGATTACAATTCAACATGAGATTTGGGCAGGGACAACTATCCAAAGTACATCAAAAGCTGAACTTAGGCCCAGTATATGGCATCATGGTATAAAATGAAAGTTTTTTTGCCTTATTACTTTTAATTGGATGACAGAAACTGCATGAGGAAAGGTATGGAATCTTTTGATGTGATCTTCCTCAAGAAACAATTGTTTTGCTGGTCTTGGTAGTCACTGAGAGTAGGAGAAAATAACCTTAATCTTGTCAGGAACTAAAGTAATTTGCAGATCAGCTTTAGATTTTTGGGAGACCATCTAATTTCTGATTATCTGGTACTTTTAGAATTTGGAATTTTAGAAGTTTAGAATAAATTTATGGGCTGTTTAATAAGACCATTCACTATCAGGCTCTAAATGCCAATTTTTCCTTCCCAGAACTATAGCATCACCAATAATTTTTGTTAGATATTTAGAATTTTATCAACAGCTTTCTGTTTGCCTTCTCTACCTCCCAGCCTGATCTGCCTATAAAAGGAAAAAAGTCTTTTTTTTAAATATACTTTAAGTTCTAAGGTACATGTGCACAACGTGCACGTTTGTTACATATGTATACATGTGCCATGTTTGTGTGCTGCACCCGTTAACTCGTCATTCACATTAGATATATCTCCTAATGCTATCCCTCCCCCAGCTCCCCACCCAATGACAGGCCCCAGTGTGTGATGTTCCCCACCCTGTGTCCAAGTGTTCTCATTGTTCAATTCCCACCTATGCATGAGAACATGCGGTGTTTGGTTTTCTGTCCTTGTGATAGTTTGCTCAGAATGATGGTTTCCAGCTTCATCCATGTCCCTACAAAGGACATGAACTCATCCTGTTTTATGGCTGCGTAGTATTCCATGGTGTATATGTGCCACATTTTCTTAATCCAGTCTATCATTGTTGGACATTTGGGTTGGTTCCAAGTCTTTGCTATTGTGAATAGTGCCGCAATAAACATACATGTGCATGTGTCTTTACAGCAGCATGATTTATAATCCTTTGGATATATACCCAGTAATGGGATTGCTGGGTCAAATGGCATTTCTAGTTCTAGATCCTTGAGGAATCACCACACTGTCTTGCACAATGGTTGAACTAGTTTACAGTCCCACCAACAGTGTAAAAGTGTTCCTATTTCTCCACATCCTCTCCAACACCTGTTGTTTCCTGACTTTTTAATGATCGCCATTAAAGAAACAATAAATTCTGTATCCTGGGCTTCATTATTCTACTCTCATCTCCAAACTATAGTCCTGCAAGTCTGCTTACAGTGGTAGATAACTTTTCAAGTTTGTCCCCCCAGTCCAGTGTGACTTTGAAAAGCTTCTCTGCCTCTTAGCAGCTACTGTCTCTTTGACTTCTTACCTCTCTGCACATATTACTTTTGAATTGAAAATTTTGCTGGAAGAAAATCAGTGTAAAGTGATAGAATCACCAGAACACTGCAAGATGTTCAAACACTTTGGGTGGAAGGGTATATTTTAGCCCTCTTTGTTCTTATTCTCAGCAGAAAGTCCCAGAATTTCATTCATTTTAAATGTTCAAATTTAAAAGGTAAGTGGAATGCTATGGCAAACCACCATTGGCCTAAATTAAGGAATGTTACAAGATATAGCCATATTAAATTGACACTATATCTGTTGTAGGGACTCTCATAAAGATAGGAGATTATATTAACTATAATAAGAATTTGCTTTCCAATAGGAGAGAGCGTTATGCATGAGTACACTGTTGAATTTAAGAATAACCATCCAATATATTAATGATTGAGATATAAAAATTAAAGCCTTCTCATTAGTTAATCTAACTCAATGCAGTTATCTCAAATATTTTTTAAAATAAAATAAGTAGTTAGAAGTAAAGGAGGGAGGAAAGAAAGTCAGGGTAGTACAAAGTGAAAAAAAGGAGGGAAGTTAGAATTCGTATGTGTGCATTTTTCTTCTGTTACATTTTTCTAAATTGCATTATTTTATTGTTTCATTCTGTTTTTGCTTACGACATATATAGACACTTCTCTGGAATATATATATATCAGTTAAACTCTGTTTCTCTCATTAATCAGGAGACCCTTTGGTCTGAAATTGTATACATATTTGTTTTAAAATATGTATAAAGCAATATGTAATATATCTATGCTTTAAAATATTTTATATATGTGCTATATATTGTTTTTGCTTTAAAATATCTTAAAAATAATAATAATTTACTAGTTAATTTTGATTCTATTTAATTTTCATTTTGTGTTTTCATCAACAAAATTCTTCCTTGGATTCAGTCTCACCCTTTAGAATGTTAATCCTGCTGAGAAAAGAGATGCCTTCTTTCTTTTTCCTTTGTATTTCTAGCACCTATACAGTGCTTGGCACATAGCAAAAACTGAAAAAATATCTATTAAGGAAAAAAATGGAATAACACTGAGTTCCACAATTTTATGAAATGCCTGAATTATAGGACAGAAAAACATATACCTCAGGCTGATATTGCCAGAATGAATCAGTGAAGGACCGAGAGAAAGAGAAAAAGGCAAACAAAACTTTCTCAAAATTAGGCAAAAGTATCAAGCTCTACACCAGAGAATAACGTTAATTATCCAGAATTGTCTTTTTAAGTTCTACTTTGTTTTAAGTTGGAAACAGAGAAACTGATAAGCATTACATTGTAAACTAATCTTAGTTTCTGAGAATAGAGTCTTAAGAGAGCAGTTACACACACTGTGGCTTTTCTTCACTTGTGCTGGTGATGGCAAGAGAAAAAGCTACCATACTACCACTCAAGCACCTCTCTTCACTTTTTTCCCCAGAGGATGGGTGAAAGATATCACTCTTATACATTTTTTAAAAAAATGGTGTCCATCCTTCATTCACTCATGCATTTTGTACTTACTTCACTCCATCTCTGTATTCTTTATTCTAGAAAAGAAATTCTATTTACTTCTGATATTTCTTTACGATAAATATTCTAAATTTAAGGGAGGCTACGCTTATGTGAAAGGATATATATTTTACTTGGCTGAGTTTACATTTACAGAGATTAAGCCAAAATATACAATCATCTTTAGGTTATCAAAATTCTGAATGAGAAAGAATTCACATGAAATAAAAGAACTATTGTAAAATTTTTATCATCCTTCCTCAAAAATACTATTTCGTAACTTTTATAAATGCTTCCGTGCTTTTCCCTTATAACATTATTTTATATTGCATGAAATCCCAGGAGTACTTGGTGAGGATGTAAGGTCTGTTATTTTTTGTTCTTTTTACCCCTTTTTCACTTCTCATAAACTTCTGAAAAATTCTCCTGTATTACTAGTCACAGCCCAAAGGCAAACTTTAAGATTTTTTTCTAAATTGGTTTATAGTTCAGAAAGAAATTTTGAGGAAACATGATATTAAAAAGAAGAAAAAGAAAGCAGAGGAAAAAGGAAAAACTGAAAATATCAGAAATATATTTAGTAATTAACAATAATTTATGAGCTAAGTATTTGCTTTAAAATATCTTGTGAAATGACAAAAACATATACCCAGTAAGTAACCAAGTTTTACAGTTTTTGTTTCCATGTGTTTTTTTGCTGTTGTTTGCTTGCTATAACAAAAGTATTTGCTTTTCATTTTTATCTCCCATTGTCTTTGGATTGTCACTACTCAAATTCAAGTCCATATTATGGAGGAGTCATATTTAGAAGTCATACCAAATTATAGAATTCATCTAATGTAAATGCTTTTACTTAATAGTCGAAGAAACTAAAGTCTTGAGAGACCAATCATTGTCAAAAATACACTAAGAGCTAACACTTGCAATCCAGTGCTGCATTTACCACAATAATAGCTTCCTAATTGAACTGCTACCTCCGTTAGAAGTTTTTTCTCCCTTCTAACATGCATATTGCTTCCAGTTAAATCAATCATTTTATGTCTCAAGAAGTCTAGTAGCCAGTTAGACTCCTATAGATCCCAATCTGTATGAAGCACTCCACAATCTGCCCCAAAGCTCACTTTTAACACTTATTTTCCTTTTATAAGCCCTCTACTTCAATCAAACTTGTATTTTCTCTTTCTGTGCCTTTATATAACATCATTTTTTCATCTCAAATATCTTCTTATGTTTGTCAAACATTACATGTGACTCAACTGGCAAAACAAATCCTTCCACCACAGAAACTATTTATATCTAAAAACTCTATCAAGAGCACTGTGTAGAGGGTAGTTTTACTACCATACCATAAATAAGTTAATTGAAACTCAGATTACATTATCTGTCTAACACAAAGCTACTAAAGTTTAAAAAAAATCAGTTCAAAATTAGGTGAATTTTTTTTCTGACTACCCCAGTATCATTGCTGAGGTAATTTAAGTTACAATAAAATATTTTGAAGCTTATTAATACAAGACTCTCTTACCTGTGTCAGTCCTAAAGTATGGTTCAAATTCCATCATTGTCTTAAAGGTTACACATACTAGAACACATATATGCTCATGAACGCATAACAGGAGATGTCTGCAATGGAGCACAGTTTCTTACATTTTAATCAGTGACTGGGCAGCTTCTTCCATTATAACATTCCTCTCCAAGTGTGCTGCTGGCATAGTGAGGAGGTAAAAAGTAGATTACATGAATTGTCCTGTGCCTTTTCTCTCAGACATTGACGACACTCTTGCTGTAATCTTGATGCCATTAAATCCTACTCTGGATAAAGAGGAAAAATAGAAATTTCATATTCAAAATAATATACAGGAATTAAAGAAAAAAATTTCATGAGACCGTGAGACATTAAGGATTTGTCCAATGGCTTCTCTTTTACTTGTATTTTAATTTGGTAATAATGATTTTACAAATGTTTCTTGAACTCATCAAGTTGAATGATGGCATAAGCCCCATCAGATACAGTGGAATGTTTTCTGTAGATAAGTATCTCATGATCAATTTTTAAACAATAAAGGCATTAATTTTCCCAAATGTAAATCACCCATAAGGAACAATATTTCTTTGGCCTACCATTTTGGCATACAGTACAACTCTAGCAACAGGAAAATACTCTGATGTTGAAGGAAGTAAGAAGCCTTCTTTCTAGGACCTCACACTTCCTGGTAGGATCATGTTGTAAATCTATCTGGTGGAGTAGAAATTTTCAGAGTTGATGGTCTAGTCCCATTATTCTATACCTCAGCCTCTTTTTGTAAAAAATACCTCTCAACCTGATACGTATAAAGAGGTACAGATGTTAGTGCCTGTCCTTATTTAGAAACTTTGCTTCTATTCATTCACTGAGTTTTCTGTATTCTTTTCAAACTTCTCTACCACAATATTAAAAAAAATATAGTCCAGCCCTGCAATTTGTGGGCTAATGACAGTGTATGCTTAAAGAATTATTGAGTGAAGGGTGACATATTTTTATAAACAAAAATGTTATTTTTGCATAATTGTATTATTCATGCAAACTCTTTATCAATTAGGACAATTGAAATTGTTAGGAATATCTATAAGCTCAGTTTTACTGTGGAGATCTAAAAGGGACACAAATGATTTAATTATTGGATGTCAAACTGGCAAAAAAAAAAAGTCTACGGTCATGAAATACGTTTATGTTGCCCTCATGAAATTTTTATGATAGACCAGTATTTCTGCAGGCTTCCTCCTAAGAGAATACTGGACCCTTCTATAAGTAAGCAAGTTAATCCCACTTCTCACTGGAATAGCTACCAGTTTACCTTCTTGTTAAAATGAATCACTAGCAAATACGAATAATCCCTCACTTGATGTTTAGCCTGCTGGATGCTGCTCTGTTATGAGTGATTTATGATCATACCTTTAAATAATTATATTGGTCCTGTTGTAATATTTCATCACAGCTAACAAGAAGATACATGCAGATAAATGTATTACAACTCCCCTCTCTTCAAGTATTTTCCTCTATTAGAAATTAAATACCTCTAAAATATTAAACCAAAAATCTCTCCCCAGTGGAACTTAAAGAATAAGCCTACGTTATTATACTTTTATTTTATAATTTACAAGAATCAAAACATTCATAGCTAATGTTTCCACAGCTACCTTCTACTAAATATAGATTGGAGTGTATTTCACATGAGAGAAAAAATTAAACTTTGCCTCTTTGTAGAAGAAAATATAACTAAAAGGTCAGGAGAAATTGCTTTAGAAATCAAAATCATAAAATGGGTACTTAAAGAGGAAATTATATATTCAGCACTTCATATAAATTTTAGTAAAGTAGAAAATATTTTAAATAATTGAGATGGTAATGGTGATGATGATGATGATGACAATAATAAACCATTCTGTGGGGAGAGAAGACTATCCTTGCTTTAGAACAAAGTGCTGGAGTGCTGTCACATTTCAGAAACTACACATGAGAGAATTATTCTTTTGATAAGAAAACATTAAATAAGCATCCAGAAACCACAACAACTGTACTGATTATAAGCCATCCCTGGCACTTAGAATCAATGCTCTACAGCTTGCTCAGTCTCGATTTTGTCCTTCCCTTTTTTCCTAGGGTTCTATTTTTTCCAGTAAATAAAATCATGGCCAGTAGCCATGGAAAGAAAAAACAATGCTGTATTTAGAAACAGAGGTTAAGGTCAAGTCTCCACTTAACAAAGAGAAATAAAGAATTAAGCTCAGGCCAAGGTCTCAAGTTTCTCAACTGCTTACATGGAAAAAAATGCAACAAAAGTAAGTAAAACATTGAACAATGATCTGGTTCATGCAAAAAGAATAATGTGCCAACATTTCATTAAATAATAAATGAGATTTATTGATAAGATTTATCCAGATTACATGATGATAACTCCAAATAGTAACTTCCATCTGCATTACATTTATTCAGCAGATGTGGCCAAGTAACTGCATTTATTTTGGGGAAAATAATTAAGTGGAGTTAAGAATTGTATGCTACAATTATTTTTCTAAATATTTGTTTTATTAAATACCAATATCTCATGTTATTATTTATACTCATATACTGTTTAAAAATATTAACATCAATTTGAATACTAATATTTGCAAATAACAGAACACTAAATTGACGTAAACAAGAAATATTATTTTCATAAAACAAAGTTGGAAGGTTAGCACAATTATTTCATGAAAACTCAGATTCTTACAACTTTCTGTTCTGCCATCCTGAGCATGCTGGTTTTTATCCTGATGCTCTTCTGCCTTATGGCCAAAGGATTGCTATTCAAGTATCACAGATCACAAAGTAATGTGGAAGACAAAAATGTTATTTTTGCTTTAGCATTTCTTTCATTTGGGGGAGGAACTTTTCAAACAATTCATTTCACACATCTTCCTGGCCACTCCTACAGCAATCATTAGCAAAAAGAAATGGGAATACCATTTAAGATTCTGACCAATTCTTCATTATTTTCCTGGGCCTGAGAAGAAACTGAAATGCCCTGACCACAGTATCTTTGAATTCTTCAACCAAATTACAGACTTGACAGGGAAAAAGAGGGAGTGGCTGATGGGAAAGAATATTAGGGTCTGCCCCATTCACATGATTTAAGTCCAATGATATTTAAATAAATATCTCAATCAACTTTTATATTTTTGCTTTTAAATTTTTAGTTTATGTTGGAATGTTTTTTTCCACAGGATGTGTAATCATGTCATTTTCTTTCAAGCAAGGCTCTAATTTTCTATGATTAATTTATCCACAAACACTGTTACTCTCAAATTCAAATATCAAAAATCAGGTATTTTTTATACTCCCACATAAATAAATACACACACAAATCTATACACATAAGATTTTTAATTTAATCACATTTTAAAGTTTGGTTTAGAAATTAGTATTAAGAAATTATCTAAAACTTAGAAATGTTATTATAAGATATTTCAGCATTTCATTTCAGTATCATACTGAAAAGCTGTTTAACAGGATCACCCAAAGAATACTTAATTTTCCAAAGGAATGTACTTTCATGTGACTTTGAAATTTACTAAAAAGTTAAGACCTCGGACACTTCAAAGTTACATACTAATTTGCAGAACTTGTCTGAATTTTTTCTCCTGCTAAATACCATCACAAAAGTTATGGTTTTATTGCCCTGTAGGACACTAACTATCTTGTTGAACTTATGTAAAGTCTGTACTATATAATCTTTGTTTTTCTAATTCTCGTTTGGATCAGATTTTTCATCTCACTGGTTTCCTCCTTTATGTGTTGAACAAAATCTTTGAAATGTGATCACTGTATATTTGTATGACAGTCATGCTTTACGTTTTTGATAATTATACTTTGACATTAAAGAGTAAACCAATGATACTCACTGATAATGACTTTTATCTTTGTCATATGCTTCAAATATTTAGAATCACTAAACTTAGAGATGTACTAACATATTCAGGCAATCAGGTGTGACCCAGGAAGCCACTTAATTCAATCAGGAAGTTTTTTTACTGTGCTAAGATATAAAACAAATATTTCTAATTCTTTTGTGCAAGAGTTGAATCTTATTTAGGATCTTATCAAAATTTCAAATAATACCTCAGAATTTTTTAAATTCAGAGATGAAGAAATAATATAAATAACCATTTTTAACTATAAATTAATTTTTAAGATGTTAACCTGCTCCACTGAAATGTAGAGTAGAAAAATTAAAATTACCAAAGGGCAGAGAGGGAGGGGAGCAAACTACTTGTCATTCTTCTGTCCCTGTCAAAGGATTTTGCTGGGCAAAATAATTTAAGGATATTTTCACTGAAAGGTGGTAAGATAATTTCATTACACATTTCCATTAAGTTTCTTAAACAGAAATTTTCTCCCAGTACAGAGCTGTGCATTAAAGAAGTAACTCACTTCTCAATTTCTATTTTTTTAAATAAATGTAAAAACAATTTGGCTCATTTTTTACTTATTTATGCCCTTAATTTCAAGCATTATTTGTGAGAAAATGAATTGGAAATATAAAATTGGTTCAGCTGTTTCATCAAGTGGTGCTCAATTTTCTAATTTCTCTATCACAGACAATCAAAGCTTTGAAGCAACCTGTTATCTCTTTCAGAGGTGACAAATTGTCTGTGAAAAACTTCAGGATCTTTAACCACCAGAATCTGCATTGCCAACCTAAAAAATGCAATCTCATAATCATGTTATTTGTATATGTTTGCTTTAAGACTTTCAAAGTTCGATTCTTATTTGACATCACTCTCCTAAAGGCAATCAGGCCGAATAAGTAAAGAAAATGACATCAAAAATGTTCTTGGGAGTGCTTATTTATTCTGTGTTTTAATCAGGATTATAAAATAAGAAAAACAAATTCAAATTTTGATGAGATTTCAAAATTCATAGTCATAGAGCAAAAGTAGCAAGACATCTGCATTGTAATGCAGAAAATATTTGTATTTTGCTTTCTCATTAACATATAAAATATAACTAAAAAGTTAAGGAAGAGTAGTAAGGAATAATTTGCAGATAAGAAATAGTGACCATGAATAAATTAAAATATTTATTTTGTCTTATAGGCTATACTTCTGGGTGTAAAATCATTGAAACAAGTCAAAATTCTAATAAATTGGGAAGGTGGAAAATTGGAAAAATGCCCTTTGATAATTACTAACAAGTATTAAGAAGAAACTATTAAGAATATCTTCTAAAAATAGTAATTTACATACACAGTAACATATGTTTCTTTTTACTTAGTTTGTTAAGCGCCCTCAATCTTTACCTACAAACCCTTGCGTACATAGGAGGGAATGCCAGAGTAGACTCTGATGGAATTCAAAAGAGAAAATTTATGCTTCTAGTCTTAAATCAATTATGACCATGTAATCTGCTTCAGATTAGAATAGTTACATATTCAGATAAAAAGAGAAAAAAGACAGTATATTTTTTCTAACTTTGTGTCTTATACTTAATATATATCCTTGTCTCACCTAATTTTTCTTCATTTAACTGGTTGTACCAACAACCTCAACTACAAGGTTGTTAATCTGAATACTGTCAAGGATTGTTGTTTGTTATGCTTTCCTTCTCACAGTATAATCCAGATTGTCTCCTTACATCAGCAATAGATATAAGAGCTCTACTTTGCAGCAGTGAATTAAAATTTGATGCCTCTTTTTTTACTTTGCCGTAAACACTCCCTTCGTTTTATTCATCTTGATTTTCATAGCGATCCCCTTCTAATTTCTTTATCGTGCCTCACCTTGTTTGGTCCTCAATCCCAAATAATTATAAATTTCCAAGCTAGTTGTTTAACCAAAAATTAACCCTGAAATTAGTTTCCACCTATACAGGACATTGAACAGAAATAAACTACACTGTTTTAACTTCTTTTTCTAACTTGGCACCTGGATCAAAAGTCTGAGATCATTGTTTTCATTTGTGTCTTTAGCTGTGGCATACTATTGAATATATTGTTGATTATATTTGCCTGGCAAAGTTGAAACCCATAATTTAAATTGAAAGTATGATATTTAAATGGATATATTTCATGCACAATAATCCACAAAATATTAAGCTAGTTAGTGTCATAATATCACAGACCCAGGCTTCTGATTCAAACTGAGAGTTGTTTTCAATATGCTACACTATCTGCTTACATACCCCATCTGTTGAATTTTTAGCATCTGGCAACTCAAAGTATGGCCTCCAACTAGCAGCACCTTCATCACCTTGGAGCTTTTTAGAAGTGCTGAATCTCAGGTACCACTTGAAAAACTGGAATAGAATACACATTTTAGCAAGATTGCCTTGTAAGTGCAATGAAGTTTTAAAAGCACTGTCTTAGTATATTTCACATATAAGCAAGAGTAAAACTCATCTTTCTTACTTAAATTCCAGATCAGGGTACAGTAATCCTTTTTCTTAGAAAAATAAATTTCATTTTACTTCAGTAAAAAGGCTGGCTTCTGTTATATAACTCTCTTATCTAAACTCTTTTGAAATTTGTTTATTCATTCATATTCATTTATTCTCATGAAATTATTAAGAACCGAATATGAGCCAGATATTATTCCAGGTTCTGGGAATTTCATAGTGATATAAAGAGAAAACCTTGCCCTTTTTGAAACTACATTATAGATGAGGTAGACAAACAATATACAAGATTAATAACTAAAATATACAATAGGTTACATGGTAAAAAGTACAAAATATGATAACAAAGCAGTAAGGAAAAGTGAAGAATGTCAGAGCAAGTTTAGCGTTGCAAATGTAGAGAAGGTTGTCAGAAATTTAGAACTAAGTATTTTCTTTCAAAGCATATTTTCCTTTTTATGGCCTCAACTCCAATCTCCAAGTAGAAAATATCCAAGCCTAAACTTTAGCCTTAATTTCCCAGTGGTGTTCTGGCTCCAAACACATAACAATATTTTGATAGATCCCCTAACAATTTAACATAATAGATTTATTATCATAAAATTATTATAGTCTGATGTCTTTTGAGGACTTCTTTGACCATAATATTCTTTCCTCAACCCCTTCCAAAGCCTATGACTGGGGAAACCCTAAGCTTCATCAATTTGTGCAAATTCACAAACACTCATTCTCGAAGGATCTCTTTCTCTTCAGGGCTCCTTCAGGGCTTTGTCTGTGTGGCCTAAACACAAATATGAAGTTCAACGCTTTTTCAAATTTTGAAAAAAAAAAATCATCTTAAAAGCATTCATGAGCAATGTCAATTTAATAAAAGATTCTATAACAAAGGTAGAAAAGAATGTTTGCATTGCAGTCATAGGTTGGGTTTCCCAAAATGAGATTGCCTTACAGGGGGTTGATTGGAGAGTGCTGTCAGGAACTACACCAGAAAGGCCATGACAGTGCAGAACTGAAAAAAGGAAGAAGTTGAATTGTGATGATTAGGTTGCAAAAACGACCTCAAAAAACTGGAGCAGCGGGAGTTCTGAAGTTCAGATGGCCTTCTGGAGATGCTCATAAGTGCAGCAAGTGTTCAATACTGCTGCTTTAAACAGTCACCCTCCTCTATCTTTGCTATGGAATCTTCTATAAAGTTTGCTGTCATAGTATCACTTATGTTGTGTCAGGTCCTCCAAGAAAAAGACACCAAGAGAGGATTAGCCATTTGCCATATATTTAAAATCGCCATAATTGTGAGGGAAATTGGGAAAGAGTAAGAAGGAAGTTGGCAATGCAATGACACTTTGATGAAGATCTAATCCTAGTTAAAGGAGAGAGAAGATTGGGTAGAAGCATCTCAGATTCAACACAATTATAATAGAGATTGGCAAGGCTGTTAGGGAGTCCTTGAATCAAATTTGCTTGTCAGAGGAGTCCTCTACCTCCTATGACTAGATTTACCTTAGTATTCTTTACTTGGTAAATTATTGGCTGGGAATAGTCCATGGGAAGCATGGACTTAATTTCAGAGCTCAGACAATTAAATGCACCTGCAGAGATCTGCAAGGTGTATTCTTATAACTGCCACAATGAGGTGCTAGAGTTGCTGTTCCTGAATCAGGGCATGGAGGACATGAGTCTGGAATGTGAGAAATTCACTGGGATATCCCCTAGTGCTTCTTTCTCTGTGATGAGAGTAAGTGAGCATTTTTAGCAATCATGGACTGAGAACACCAAAGTATTGAGAGGCGTAGAAACCTCAGGAACAAAGATCTGTGCCCACGAGGAAATGGACCTAGACAGTAACAATCCCACTAAGATGAATGGTCTCCGAAATGGGAAGTAGAGAAAGAAGACATTGAATATAGGTTGAATATAGATTATGGCATCTAATCTGTAGCAGCAGATACATTTCACTAACAATCTTAATTTAAGCTCTTATTTTAGATACTGAGTACAGCCACTATTTTGAAATGCCAGCGACAGAGTGGAATCTTTCATGCACGTCCGTGTGAAGAGACCACCAAACAGGCTTTGTGTGAGCAACATGGCTGTTTATTTCACCTGGGTGCAGGCAGGCTGAGTCCGAAAAGAGAGTCAGCAAAGGGAAATAAGGGTGGGGCCGTTTTACAGGATTTGGGTAGGTAAAGGAAAATTACAGTCAAAGGGGGTTTGTTCTCTGGCGGGCAGGAGTGGGGGTTGCAAGGTGCTCAGTGGGGGTGCTTTTTGAGCCAGGATGAGGCAGGAAGAGGACTTTCACAAGGTAATGTCATCACTTAAGGCAAGGACCGGCCATTTACACTTCTTTTGTGGTGGAATGTCATCAGTTAAGGTGGGGCAGGGCATATTCACTTTTGTGATTCTTCAGTTACTTCAGGCCATCTGGGTGTATACATGCAAGTCACAGGGGATGTGATGGCTTGGCTTGGGCTCAGAGGCCTGACATTCCTGCCTTCTTATATTAATAAGAAAAATAAAACAAAATAGTGTTGAAGTGTTGGGGCGGCGAAAATTTTTGGGGGGTGGTATGGAGACAGAATGGGCGATGTTTCTCAGGGCTGCTTCAAGCGGGATTAGGGGTGGCGTGGGAACCTAGAGTGGGAGAGATTAAGCTGAAGGGAGGCCTTGTGGTAAGGGGTGATATTGTGGGGATGTTAGAAGAAACATTTGTCGTATAGAATGATTGGTGATGGCCTGGATACGGTTTTGTACGAATTGAAAAACTAAATGGAATAACAGAAGGAGAAAAACAGGCATAAAAGGTTTAAGAATTGGGATGACTCAGGATATCTGATTAGAGAGTGCCTAAGGAGATTCAGCATAGTCCTGCCAGCAAAGATTATTTATTTACTTCAAGAGTTAAGAGTGGCAGTTTGGGGATAGCACCAGGAGATATCAGCTGTGATGGCTTGGAAAAACAGTGTAAACCAGCAGTGAAAACAAGAGCAGGGCATGTATGAGTAGTTGAGAATGGTGAATAGGAGTATGACTAGACAAAAGATAGTAGGGATGACAAGTTTTTTTGGGGCACAGTCTAAGTTGGTCTGGTGTCGAATGAGACTGGGGCCTAATAAAAAGGAGCATCTATACAGGAGCTTAAATGGGCTGTACCCTGTAGCATTCTGAGGACAGGCCTGAATTCTGAGAAACGAAAGTGGTAAAAGTATTGTCCAGTCCTTTTTAAGTTGGTGGCTGAGCTTATTGAGGTGTGTCTTTAAAAGATCTTTAGTCCGTTCTACTTTTCTTGAAGATGGAGGACCGTAAGGGATATGAAGGTTTCACTGAACCCTAAGAGCCTGAAAAACTAATTGGCTGATTTGAGTAATAAAGGCTCGTCTGTTATCAGACTGTATAGAGGTGGGAAGGCTAAACTGAGGAATTATGTCTGACAGAAGGGAAGAAATGACTGTGGTGGCCTTCTCAGACCCTGTAGGAAAGGCCTTTACTTATTCAGTGAAAGTGTTTATTTAGACTAAGAGGTATTTTAGTTTCCTGACTTGGGCATGTTGAGTAAAGCTAATTTGCCAGTCCTGGGTGGGGGCAAATCCTCGAGCTTGACGTGTATGGAAGGGAGGGGGTCTGAATAATCCCTGAGGAGTAGAATAGCAGATGGAACACTGAGAAGTTATTTCCTTGAGGGTAGATTTCCACGATGGAAAGGAAATGAGAGGTTCTAAGAGGCAGGCTAGTGGCTTGTACTATAGCATAGCCTGCCTTTGCTGGTATGTGGCGATTAGGCCTGGTGGAACTGCCATCAATAAATCAAGCGTGATCAGGGTGAGGAACAGGAAAAGAAGGAAATATGGGGAAATGGGGTGAATATCAGGTGGATCAGAGAGATACAGTCATGGGGGTCAGGTGTGGTATCAGGAATAATGTGGGAGGCCAGATTGAAGTCCCGGCCAGGAACAATGGTAATTGTGGGACTTAACAAAGAGTGAGTACAGCTGAAGGAGCCGGGAAGCAGAAAGTATATGCGTCAGATATGAGGAAGAAAATATATTTTGGAAGTTATGAGAAATGTAGAGAGTGAGTTGAGCATAGTTTGTGATTTTTAGGGCCTCTAAAAGTATTAAAGCAGCGGCAGCCGCTGCACGCAGACATGAGGGCTAGGCTAAAACAGCAAGGTCAAGTTGTTTGGACAGAAAGGCTACAGGGTGCGGTCCTGGCTCTTCTGTAAGAATTCTGACCACACTAACCATGCCTAGGAAGGAAAGGAGTTGTTGTTTTGTAAGGGATTGAGGTTTGGGAGATTAATCAGACACAATCAGCAGGGAAAGCACGTGTGTTTTTATGAGAATTATGCCGAGATAGGTAACAGATGAGGAAGAAATTTGGGCTTGATTGAAGTAATGGGGGCTGTCTGTGAAGCCTTGTGGCAGTACAGCCCAGGTAATTTGCTGAGCCTAATGGGTGTCAGGGTCAGTATAAGTGAAAGCAAAGAGAGGCTGGGATGAAGGGTGCAAAGGAATAGTAAAGAAAGCATGTTTGAGATATAGAACAGAATAATGGGTAGTAGAGGGAGGTATTGAGGATAGGAGAGTATATGGGTTTGGCACCACGGGGTGGATAGGCAAAACAATTTGGTTGATAAGGCGCAGATTCTGAACTAACTTGTAAACCTTGTCTGGTTTCAGGACACTTAAAATGGGGGAATGGTAAGGAGAGTTTATAGGCTTTAAAAGGCCATGCTGTAGCAGGCGAGTGTTAACAGGCTTTAATCCTTTCAAAGCGTGCTGTGGGATGGGATATTGGCATTGAGTGGGGTAAGGGTGATTAGGCTTTAATGGGATGGTAATGGGCCTGTGATCAGTTGCCAGGGAAGGAGTAGAGATATCCTATACTTGCGGGTTAAGGTGGGGGGATATGAGAGGAAGACTCGAAGGAGGCTTTGGGTTGGGGAGAAGGGCGGCAATGAGATGTGGCTGTAGTCCAGGAATAGTCAGGGAAGCAGATAATTTGGTTAAAATATCTCGGCCTAATAAGGGAACTGGGCAGGTGGAGATAACTAAAAAAGAGTGCATAAAAGGGTGTTGTCTAAGTTGGCACCAGAGTGGGGGAGTTTTAAAAGGTTTAGAAGCCTGGCTGTCAATACCCACAACAGTTATGGGGGCAAGGGAAACAGGCCCTTGAAAAGAAGGTAATGTGGAGTGGGTAGCCTCCGTATTGATTAAGAAGGGGACGGACTTACACTCCACTGTGAGTTACCTAAAGCTCGGCGTCCGTGATGGTCTACGGGGCTTCTGAGGTGATCAGGCAGCGTCGGTCTTCAGCCGGCAAGCCAAGAAGGAGTCAGTCAGAGAGCCTTGGGCCAGAGTTCCAGGGGCTCTGGGAGTGGCTGCCAGGTGAGTTGAACAGTCCAATTTCCAGTGGGGTCCCACACAGATGGGACACGGCTTAGGAGGAATCCTGGGCTGCAGGCATTCCTTGGCCTGGTGATCAGATTTCTGGCACTTGTAGCAAGCTCCTGGGGGAGGAGGTTCTGGAGGAACGCCTGGCTGCTATGGTTCAGGCGTTTGGAAATTCTTGTGTGCTGGAGATGTGTCTGGGCTTTGTCTCACAGTGGAGGCAAGGAATTGCAACTTTTTTTCTGTTATTGCACACCTTGAAGGTGAGGTTAATTAAGTCCTGTTGTGGGGTTTGAGGGCCAAATTCCAGTTTTTGGAGTTTTATTTAATGTTGGGAGCAGATTGGGTAATAAAATGTATATTGAGAATAAGACGGCCTTTTGACCTTTTAGGGTCTAGGGCTGTAAAGCGTCTCAGGGTTGCTGCCAAACGAGCCATGAACTGGGCTGGGTTTTTATATTTGATGAAAAAGAGCCTAAATGCTATCTGATTTGGGATAAAGAAAAAGGAGCATTAACCTTGACTATGCCTTTAGCTCTAGCCACCTTTTTAAGAGTAAATTGCTGGGCAGGAGGGGGAGGGCTAGTCACAGAACGAAACTGTAAGCCAGACCAGGTGTGAGGAGGGGAGGTGATAAAAGGATTATAGGGTGGAGGAGCGGAGGCTGAGGAAGAATTGGGACCTAGCTCGGCCTGGCGAGGAGCAGCCTGGGGAGGAAGGGAGAGGTCAGATGGGTCTGTAGAAAAGGAAGATTAGAAAGACTCAGCGACGCTTGGTGTTGGTACTGGGGGGACAGGCAGGAGGGAAAGAAGGAAGATTTGGGACAAGTTGCACTGGGCACAGAGACTAGGAAGGGACTGATGTGTAAAAGAATGCCTGGACGTCAGGCACCTCAGACCGTTTGCCTATTTTACGACAAGAATTATTTAGATCTTGCAGGATGGAAAAATTCAAAGTGCCATTTTCTGGCTATTTGGAACTACTGTTGAGTTTGTATTGGGGTCAGGCGGCATTGCAGAAGAAAATAAGGCATTTAGGTTTTAGGTCAGGTGTGAGTTGAAGAGGTTTTAAGTTTTTGAGAACACAGGCCAAGGGAGTAGAAGGAGGAATGGAGGGCGGAAGGTTGCCCATAGTGAAGGAAGGAAGCCTAGAGAAAAGAGAGAGTAGAGAAACGGAGGGAAGGGATTTGGGGGTTCTTATCTTCCAGAAAAGTGGGAAAAGTGGTTGGGGTGCAGAAATAAGGGATTGGGGCACAGAGATATAAAAGGTTGGGGCACAGAAATAAGGGGTTGGGGTGCAGAGATATGAGGTTGGGGCTCAGAAATAAGGGATTGGGACACAGAGATAAGAGGTCGGGGTGCAGAAATAAGGGATTAGGGCAGAGAGATAAGAGGTCGGGGTGTGGAAATAAGGGATTGGGGCACAGAGAAAAGAGGTTGGGGTGCAGAAATAAGGGATTGGGGCACAGAGATAAGAGGTTGGGGTGCAGAAATAAGGGATTGGGGCACAGAGAAAAGAGGTTGGGGTGCAGAAATAAGGGATTGGGGCACAGAGATAAGAGGTTGGGGTGCAGAAATAAGGGATTGGGGCACAGAGAAAAGAGGTTGGGGTGCAGAAATAAGGGATTGGGGCACAGAGATAAGAGGTTGGGGTGCAGAAATAAGGGATTGGGGCACAGAGAAAAGAGGTTGGGGTGCAGAAATAAGGGATTGGGGCACAGAGATAAGAGGTTGGGGCGTGGAAATAAGGGATTGGGGGTTCTTGCCCCGTAGAAAAGCGGGACTTGCCGCTAAGGGTGCAGGAGAAGGGGTTGAGGAATAGTTGCCCCTCTCCCAAAAAAGCAGAGAAGGGGTAGAGACAAGGAGAGAAGGGGTTGGGGTACTTGCCCCTTCCCCAGAAAAGTGGGACTTGCCGCTAAGGGTGAAGGACCAAGGCAGGCATTCCTGCGTGGTCTGACACCCTTGAAAGGTGGGTGTATAATCAGAGACGCGTCCCTGCAATGATTAAACACCAAGGGAAGGCTGCCTTCCCAGTCTGTGACCGGCGCTGGAGTTTTGTGTCCACGGATAAAATGTGTCTCCTTTGTCTCTCCCAGAAAATGAAAGGAATTGAAATTAAGAGAAGGGAGGGATTGAAGAGTGAAAGGGAGAAAGTGGTTGAGGGACAGTGAGAGAGGTTGGAGAAGAGAGTAAGAAGAGGCCGCTTACCTGATTTAAAATTGGTGAGATGTTCCTTGGGCTGGTTGGTCTGAGGACCTGAGGTCATAGGTGGATCTTTCTCATGGAGCAAAGAACAGAAGTACAGGGGATTGATCTCCCAAGGGAGGTCCCCCGATCCGAGTCAGGGCACCAAATTTCATGCACGTCTGTTTGAAGAGACCACCAAACAGGCTTTGCGTGAGCAACATGGCTGTTTATTTCACCTGGGTGCAGGCTGGCTGAGTCTGAAAAGAGAGTCAGCAAAGAGAGATAAGGGTGGGGCTGTTTTATAGGATTTGGGTAGGTAAAGGAAAATTACAGTCAAAGGGGGTTTTTTCTCTGGCGGGCAGGAGTGGGGGTTGCAAGGTGCTCAGTGGGGGTGCTTTTTGAGCCAGGATGAGCCAGGAAAAGGACTTTCGCACGGTAATGTCATCACTTAAGGCAAGGATCAGCCATTTACACTTCTTTTGTGGTGGAATGTCATCAGTTAAGGTGGGGCAGGACATATTCACTTCTTTTGTGATTCTTCAGTTACTTCAGGCCATCTGGGTGTATACATGCAAGTCATAGGGGATGTGATGGCTTGGCTTGGGCTCAGAGGCCTGACAGAATCTGTATTGGATGTAAGCATATCTGAGCAGTGCAAGAGGTAGACGGTAGCCAACACAATGGATAAAGCACTCAATATTTCCTTGGCTTGCTTGTGTCTTCACCTGCAATTGTGGAGAAAAAAATGCCCATCTCTCAGTAGTACTATCCAGAAGCATATTCATCACAGTTTGTCAGAGGATACTCAGCAGAAGTGAGTCCCAACAATCCACTCATTAACACATTCTATGCTGGCTTTTTCTTTCTTCCACTCTCACTTTTCCTATTCTCTGGCTTTTTTTTTTTTTTTAATCATCTACTAAATAAAGTACTGGTATCCAAGTTTTTATATCATGGTATTTTGAGGGGACTACAAACTAAGATGATAAGAAAACTAGGCTTTGTTCTTAACTGTCAGGAAGCTTTTTAGATAGCATTTACTATTTTGGTTCCAGTCCTAAAAATTGTTTATAACCTTCCAGCAATATAGCTGGAAAACTGCAATTGTTCATTACTCTGATGGTCTCAGAATGTTAGTAACAAAATCATCTCCTATAGAGAGGAAAGCATTTTAACCTCATGATTTTATTATAATTGGAAACTGATGGCCTATGTTATTTTTCATTCTTAATGTAATAACTATTTTGGTAGTTTTGAAGAAACTTCACTCACACACCACAAATCATTTTAATTTATTCTCTTCTGGTCAAAACAGGTTAAATAGATTCAAAGAGCATGTACATTTTTTTTTTAGTTCAAAAAAGTTTCTGTAATAATTATCTCGAAATATGCTTATGAAACAAGATAGTGATTGCAAAATGCATCATTTAGTGAAATAAATTATTTTTGTAGATTATTCAGTTATTCACATGCTAACTAGAAGGTAGGTGTCACAAATATTTAGGTGAAGAAGAGAAAAGCAAGATATTTCTCCTTTTTTTCTCTTCTAATATAAAGTATAAAGATTGAGGAATAGAATATTGAAATGTGGTTTATTACATGGAAAGCTTTAGTGAGGAGACATGCATCAAACAAAGAAAAGATCTTTTCACCAATGCCTTTTCATAAAGTCAGTAATGGTGTTTATAATGGTGCCTATCTCTGGTTAAACAAACAGCTAGTTTTGTTTTGTTTTCTTTCTAAAAGAAATTAAAAATCTGAGTGACCACCAAAATTTCAGAATCAACATTGTAAGTTCAAAACTCCACATTTCACTAAATATCATCAATAATGGTTTAAATTTCAAGCATCATGAAACCTTGCTAACATTTTCCCTTATCATTTCTTTATGTTTCATAAATATTTGAAAAATATCATTGATTAAAAATCCCATCATTTTAATAGTAAGTTAATTTTTATAGTAAATTAGTACAAAAGTGCATGTTCTGAAACTCAACTGGCCAGAAATGAAGGAAGAACCTACTTACGTCTTTTGTACCCAGAAGAACACCATTACTGGAAGACAAACTATTAATATGATCTTGTAGGAAAAATTAACTAGACAAGGAAATGCCTTAAAATTCCTATTTTATTTCAGAGAAATCAAACATTAAAGTCTCCACAATATAAAAGTTTAAATATTTAATATTTTTCATGTAACAAGTTTTGGAATTGTATTTCATCATTTTGAATAAACATGGTAGGAAAATAATGCTTCTATGCTTTAATAATGATTCTAATAATTTTACTTTTTACAGAAATTTAATATGGTGGGACTAAGGAAAATGCTAATTTACATTCTTTATTTTTCCTTTCTAAAGACAATGATGCGTTTACATTTCTATGGTAATGATGCAGTTCTGAAATAGATTCTTTTGCATGCACAGCTTTCAAGAAATTGTATGCATGCCACATTCTTAAGAATCAGCAACTATGTGAAATGAATATTCAAAGAAGGTACAAATCTCTAAACTACTTCTGCAGGGCTAGTTGAGTCCCTTGTTAAAGTAGGTAGAGTTCTCAGTGCTAGAGTATAAATTCAAGCCATCTAAGAAATCTTACACAGATGAGACTCACTCACTGCAGGAAAATCTAGGCAAAGTAAGATTCAAGGCAGTAAAACATTAAAATAGTTAGATTACAACAGCATTTCTCCCATGATTGAGTGGTTCTTTTAAACTGAAATATTTCTAGACATTCTGAGTTAGAGAAAAGTGCAGCTTAAGACAATATTCTACTGAGGCTTAGGAAGATATTTTTGATTCCCTATTAGATGGTATAAAGAAAAGTAGTAGACAAAAATGAAAGACTGGTGTGAATCTGATAGATCTCATAGATCAGGTATTTGAGCACTCTGTATTAAAACAGAACTTTAGGTCACACCACAAAAATATATTTCTTTCCCAAGCCTTTTTTTAAGAAAAAGGAAAAGCTTGGGGAATTTAAAACTAAGACTTCTTGATGGAAATATGAAAGTTACTAAAAAAAGAACTTACATAATGTGGGTAAATGAATAAAAGCATTTGACAATATGTTTTCATAGATGAGTCGGTCTTTACTTCTGCAAAATGAATTGCCAAATGTATCTTGAGTTTAGCAGAGTTATTTCTTTCTTTTCTTTTCTTTCTTTCTTTCTCTTTCTTTTTTTTTTTTTTAACAGAGTCTTGCTCTGTCATTCAGGCTGGAGTACAGTGGCGCAATCTTGGCTCACTGCAACTTCAGCCTCCCAGGTTCAAGCAATTCTCTTCCCTCAGCCTCCCAAGTAGCTGAGATTACAGGCACAGGCCACCACATCCAGCTAATTTTTGTATTTTTACTAGAGACGGGGGTCTCACCATGTTGGCCAGGCTGGTCTTGAACTCATGACCTCGTGATCCACCTGCCTTGGCCTCCCAAAGTGCTGGGATTACAGGTGTGAGCTGCCATGCCAGGCCCTACCAGAGTTATTTCTATATTTTAAAAGTTATTTTTTTTTCATCTTCATAGGTAAGCTATTTACTAGTCTTAGGATGGGAGATTGCCAGAAGAAATACACAGCATGAAAATGAAGAAGTGGTAGATGTATTTTCTCAAATGCTTTATTAAAATATGAAACCAAATATAGACATGGCCATATGTCTATCCTGCAAAAGAAAAGAACAATATATGTCATAAAGTAACAATATATCTCTTGCATAATGGGGTTTTATTTCCTCAATAATGAATAGCACAGAAAGCCAAAGCATCGATTTGGGAGAGTTTTCTTTGATGTCTGCCAATCATATGCATATTGTTTTAGGAATGTTATGGTTTTCACCACCAGTTTTTTTGATTTGACTTTACAAAGCCAGAAAGCATTAGATTGTTATCTAGGCCTGTTCCTTCCATCCTGGTAAGCTCTCACCACATGCATTGCTATCAACATTTAAAAATGTACTTTAAAAATTACTTAACATTTAATCTTTGGCCATAATATCAGATTGCACTCACTCGTATTTTCAAAAGAAAAAAACATTAGTTAATAAATATTTTTTTCCCAAAACCTGTAAGGTTTCACATGGTGTTTTGTTTTTCTCCAGACTTCAAAGCATAACAATCTTTAAAATTATTTTTCTGCAGTTAAACTTGAATTCTGAGTATTAGGATACATATGCATTAGAATAAAAGCTCCTTGAAGGCAGGGGTCTTTATGGCTATATCCTCAATGCTGGGCACCCTGCTTGGCACATAGTGACATGAATAGAATAAAGAAATTACTCACCACTGGGTGCTTTAAAAAAACTAGAGTATTCAGGCCAGGCGCGGTGGCTCATGCCTGTAATCCCAGCATTTTGGGAGGCCGAGGTGGGCGGAACACGAGTTCAAGAGATTAAGACCAATCCTGGCCAACATGGTCAAACCCCGTCTCTACTAAAAATACAAAAAATTAGCTGGGCATGGTGGCGCCCACGCTTGTAGTCTCAGCTACTCAGGAGGCTGAGGCAGGAGGATCGCTTGAACCTAGGAGGCGGAGGTTGCAGTGAGCCGAGATCGTGCCACTGCACTCTAGCCTGGCGACAGAGTGAGACTCCATCTCAAAAACAAAACAAAATCTAGGGTATTCAGTGGAGGGGGGAACAAAGATTACTGGAATAGTGCAATGATATTTCCAAGAAAACAAAATGTAAAGAACAATCCTGAACCAAAAGAAGACACATAAATTTCACCTGCCTATCAAAGAGATCATTCACTTTCTGCAAAGAAATCTCTACTCTAGCCTGCTTTCACTTTTTTTCTCATCAAAGATTCCTTCCTACTTTTATAATCCCAAAGCAGAAATGTAATATCATACTGAATTCTGAATTTAGGTGAGCATAGTAAAACTGTCTTTAAGTTATGACATGAAACCAGATATTTTATAGGTAGCATATACTTTCCTTTTGTGGTGTACTTGGTCTCAGATCAGGAAAAATTAATATTTTATGTACCTTACAGACAAATTCTTTTTTGTTTATGGATG
This sequence comes from Homo sapiens, assembly GCF_000001405.40. NCBI lineage: Eukaryota > Metazoa > Chordata > Mammalia > Primates > Hominidae > Homo > Homo sapiens. The sequence continues at coordinate 92,282,046 of NC_000004.12, forward strand.
GGAGCCATGATTTTATGTTTTTCTCTCAAAGTCACACATACTGAATTTCATAGAACCATTTTACCAGCTTATTTGGAACTATTCCTCCATTTATAAATAGAGATTACTAATCAGAATAATTTTCCTGTTTTTCTGACTTTCAAAATCCATGTAAGCAATAATTTTTCTAAAATCATTATAAAAGTTTAAACTTTACTGTAGCATATTTTGCTTACCTATAATCCTCCTAAAATGTAGTAAAGTATTTGATCACAGATAATATCTATTTTCTAGACTTCTAGAAAAGTAAGAATAGATGTATCAATCTGATAAGGAATATCTATATAATCTCAAAACAAATGACATCTTTATGGCGAATTGGTAAATTATTGAAAAATTAGATAAAGTATGCCCACTATTAGCATGTTTAATGTACATTATCTTGGCCATATTATCCAGTAGAACAATAATAATAACAATGAATTAAGCTAATTATGGTGTGTTTGCATAGTAGGATAGTATTTATAGCATTGAAAATGAACGGGCGAATGCTACATGCAACAACATAGATGAAACTTATAAACAAAATGTAAACCAAATGAAGCCAGTCACAAAAGAAAACTGTTTTCATTTATATAAAGTTCAAAAATAGACATCAAGATACAGAATAGGAAGTCTCAAATTCTACTACCTATCTCTCCCTGAAAGAAAGTTCAACCAGCAATTATCCTCAGAATAGAATATACTTTTGAAAAGCTCAACACTTGGGAACAAGTCTGAGACACCTATGTAGTCCATAGAACCAAATTAAGTTTGAATTAGAAGGATAAGAATAACGGTCTCACTCTGACCATACTACACAACCCCTTTCCCTAATTTGGTATAATGCCAGATGAAGAGAATTTCCCTGGGCCCACCATTTCTACATGGGGAAGAGAACACCAAAAGTATTCGTGCAGCTTTTCTAGCATTATGAGACACTTCCCAGGAAGCCCACTGTGGTCTCACCAAGAGTGCAACACCAGGGAAAACAGCACAGCTAGACTTCTCAGGATCAGATAGAAACAAAGAAAGGAAACAGAGATCATATTGACCAACATGTGGATCTTGTTGGTGCCTCTATTTTCCTGCCAGCTGTGGTGCTTGATAACCGATACCAGCCAACCTCATAGCTCACCCGCAAAGCTGAGGTGATTACCTTCAGAAGCATGGTGGGCAGTTCAACCTAGCTTGAATTCCTAGATTGCTAGCCTACCTGCTCAGCCTCAGAGCCCATTCTAACCACTCTGGGAGATAACTGTCTTCACCCATTTTGGAGAAGCTAATGGGCTAGATCAGTTTGACCTGGGAAGCCAAGAAGCAGCTCCATTCAGCTGAGAAGCACTCCCAGTGACCCTACTATCACAGAGATGTTCATCTTCATGTATTTCTGGGAAGTGTAGGGACTAAATCAAGTTGATCTGGGAAGTCAAGAAGCAGTTCCTCTCAACCAAATTGACCAAAATTACAATAGTGATAGATAACACATGCATATTTTAGCTAATACATAGCATGCTTAAAGGGTACACTAAATGTTTTATACATGTTTTTGTATTTAATTATAAAAATCATACTATAACTCTATTATAAATAATACATAATACAGTAAATGTATATAATAATACAGAGAAAACATAATGATACCTAACATGTCATGCTTAATGTGTGCACTGTCTTAAGTGCTTTATATGTTCATATACTTAATTGTATAAAATATTACATGAACCTATTATTATCTTCAACTTTCACATGAGATAGCAGGGGTACAGGGAAAACAGGAGACCAGATATATGCTTTGTCCAATGTCACACAGCTCCTTCATGGCAGAATGTATTATAAAGACAGCTATGTAAAAGGAAGGAAGAGAATTCTCCATCAGCATCAGGTACACATTTGAGATGTGCCTTTACTATCTCATCATACAGGCATAGACACTATTTTGGTGTAAACGAGAGATATTCCTGCTCCTGGTCAGTACTGACTTCTATTTGTAAATTAATTTTTATTCTCTCATCAACTTGTTCCTGCAATCTTTCCTCGTTGTTTCCAACAGTAGTGTTCATGTTGTGGTAAAATCACCATTCAACAAGTAATCTCTTAGTGAGAAATCACCTACAAAAACTGGAGCTAAATTCTGCAGGTAAAGTTTTACCCCCATGCCTACCACCCCCTACTTCTCCATGAAAATAGTGCAGGAGGATAAATGCATTACAAAAATATCTGAAATAATAAATTCTGTGATCTTCCATTACAAAAATATCTGGAATAATAAATTCTGTGATCTTCCAATTTAATTCTGCCATCATGAGATGAAACATACTATACCCTAGCTGCATTTTCTTTTTCTTTTATCTTTCTTTTTTTTTTTTGAGATGGAGTCTTGCTCTGTTGCCCAGACTAGAGTGCAGTGGCCCATCTCGGCTCACTGTAACCTCTGCCTCCCAGGTTCAAGCAATTCCCCTGCCTCAGCCTCCCGAGTAGCTGGGATTACAGGCATGTGCCACCACACCTGGCTAATTTTTGTATTTTTAGTAGATTTGAGGTTTCACCATATTGGCCAGGCTGGTCTCGAACTCCTGAACTCAAATAATCCACCTGCCTCGGTCTCCTAAAGTGTTGGGATTACAGGCATGAGCCACTGCGTCTGGCCCCTAGCTGCATTTTCTATTCACTTTGAATTGGATTTTTGATAAGACAAAATTAAATCCATTATTTGAACATATTATTTTACTTAAATGAGTCTTTACTTCCCCAGTTAATATAGAGGTCATGATGTAAAAAACAACAAAAGAGGAGATGGATTGGACAGAGTCGATATGCATTTTTCAGGCTACATAATAATACCACCATAACTATTTGTGCCCCTAAGTGGTAGACTTGTTAATATTTTCATACCTGCCTCTTTAGTACACAGTATTCAGTAAGTCTTTAAGCTGCACTTTTTCTTCTCAAGCCTCCTACATGTAATAAGTAAGGGATAGATTCATACAGTATTGTGCTATTTCATGTGATTTCCCTTTATCTTGGGTTTACTTCCATTGCAAATTGTTCACATCTTAAAATTGGATAGTATCTGTGACAATTTATGCAACTATAAAAGGTGGAAAACTCTCTCTTAATTTTTTTTCATTTTTTAAAAAAGTTTTATTTTTAAGTTTCCCTTAAATCTTTCAAGTAGATTTTTAGGTTGGCTCTACTGCGTATGTACAGTGAATTGAAGAAAGAAAACAATAATCTTCACTGATTTGGTCTAAGCATACCAGTTATTTGTGGTTTTGTGCGTATGCTTCAAGTGCTGTTTTTAATCACCTCATTGGTGTACCATGCAAAACAAACTTGATTTTTCAGAGGTCCCAATAATGCAGTTGGAAATTATCTATTCAAATCCACATTTTATAAATAAAGATAGGAAAACAAGTATTGAGTGGTTTGTTGAAGCCCACAATATCTGTCACTGATACATCCAATTAAAATTTCTAGGCTGCCCAAAAGTGGAAAATGCATTATTTTTCTAATGTACCATATTTTTTTTTTCTTGGAAATGCTATCATCAAAGCAAGGACAGTAGAATAAGAGGCTATAACTTCTGCATAAGAGTGCAGTATTTAAATTTGTATTATTGCCTTATTAATTAGTTACATTTGAGCTAGATGGATTTAAGATGAAGGTAATATCTTTAAGTCAATAAGGTTTATACTTTTATTCAGCATGCTGATTAATATAAATTATTTCCCCAATCTTCTTAGCTTAATTGAATACAATGATTATATCTTTTTTGAGTTTTTAAAAATTATTTTTAATAGACATGATAATTAGACATAGGTATGGGGTACAGAGTGATATTTCAATACATGTATACAGTATGAAATGATCCAAATAGGGTAATTAGCACATGGATCACCTCAAACATTGATCATTTCTTTGTATTGAAAACATTCAAAATCCTGTCTTCTACTTTTTGAGATTATACAAGAAATTATTATTTACTATATCACCTTACAATGCTATAGAACACTACAATTTGTTCCTTCTATCTAGCTTTAATTTTGTATACATTAACCAACCTCTCCCTATCTCTACCTCCCCTACCCTTCCTTGTCAGCCTCTAGAGTAGCAACTATTCTAATCTTTACTTCTATGAGATCAACATTTTTAGCTTCTACATATGAGTGAAAACATGTCATTTTCATCTTTCTGTGCCTGGCTGATTTCACTTAATATAATGTCCTCCAGGCTAATTTGTGTTACCATTAATGACAGAATTTCATTCTTTTTTATGGCTGAATAGTATGACATTGTGTTCATGGGTAACATTTACTTATCTATGCATCTGTTGATGGACATTTAGATTGATTACGTATCTTGGCTATTGTGAAGAATCTGTAATAGACATAGGAGTTCAGGTTTCTATTTGACATATTATTTCCTTTGGATATATACCCAGTAGGGTGATTGCTTGATCATATGGTAGCTCTAGTTTTAACATTTAGAGGAACCTCCATACTGTTTTCCATAACGAACTAACTTATATTCCCACTAACCATGTATAAGTATTTCCCTTTTATGCTGCATCACCACCAGCATTTGTTATTTTTTGTCTTTTTTATAATAGCCCTTCTAAGGTGAGATAATATCTTATCCAGATTTGCCTTTCTCTGATGATTAGTGATGCTGACCATTTTTTTCATATATTTCTTTTTGTATGGCCATTTGTATGGCTTCTTTGGAGAATTGTCTATTCAAATCAATTGCCCAATTTGAACTGTATTATTATATTTAGTCTTTTGCTGTTGAGTTGTTTAAGATTTTGGATATTCTGGATATTATTTCCTTGTCAGATGAATATTTTGCAAATATTTTATCCCATTCACAGGTTGTCTCTTCATTTCATTGATTATTTCCTTTACTATGTAGAAGCTCCTTAGTTTGATTCAATTCCATTTGCCTGTTTTTCCTATTGTTTCCTGTGATTTTGAGGTCTTATTTTTAAAATCTTTGTGCAGGCATATGGCCTAAACCATTTCCACTATGTTTTCTTCTGGTAGTTTCATAGTTTTGAGTCTGATATTTAAGTCTTGAATACATTTTGAATTGATTTTTTTTTTTGTATTGTGGCATATGAGAGTCTATTTTCATTCTTCTGCATATGGATGTTTAGTTTTTGCAGCAACATTTATTTATTATCCTTTGCCCAGGGTATTAGTCCATTTTCACAGTGCTGATAAAGACATACTCGAGATTGGGTAATTTATAAAGGAAAGAGGTTCAGTTTACTCACAGTTCCACATGGCTGATGAGGCCTCACATTCATGGCAGAAGGCAAGTAAGAGCAAGTCACATCTTACATGGTGGCAGGGAAGAAAGAAAGAGGGCCAAGAGAAATGGGGTTCCCCTTATAAAACCATCAGATCTTGTGAGAATTATTCACTATGATGAGAACAGTATCAGGGAAACTGCCCACATGATTCAGTTATCTTCCACCAGATCCCTCCCACAACATATGGGAATTATGGGAGTACAATTCAAGATGAGATTTGGTTAGGGACACAGCCAAACCATATCATTTCACGCCTGGCCCTTCCCAAATCTCATGTCCTCACATTTCAAAACCAATCATGCCTTCCCAACAGTCCCCCAAAGTCAACTCATTTCAGTATTAACTCAAAAGTTCACAGTCCAAAGTCTTATTTGAGACAAGGCAAGTCCCTTCTGCCTATGAGCCTGTAAAGTCAAAAGCAAGTTAGTTACTTCCTAGATGCAATGGAAGTACAGGCATTGGATAAATAGACCCATTCCAAATGGAAGAAATGGGCCAAAACAAAGGGGCTAAAGGCCCCATGAAAGTCCAAAATCCAGTGGGGCAGTCAAATCTTAAAGTTTCAAAATAACCTCCTTTGACTACATGTCTCACATCCAGGTCACACTGATGCAGGAGGTGGGTTCCCATGGTCTTGTGCAGCTCCACCCATGTGGCCTTAGGGTTTAGCCTCTACTCCTGGCTGCTTTCATGGGCTAGCATTGAGCGTCTGCAGCTTTTCCAGGTGCACGGTCCAAGCTGTCAGTGGATCTACCATTCTCGGGTCTGGAAGACAGTGGCCCTTTTCACACAGCTCCACTAGGCAGTGCCCCAGTGGGGACTCTGTGTGGGGTTTCCACCCCACATTTCTCTTCTACACTGCCCTGGCAGGGGTTCTAGTTTGCTTCAGGGGGCCCTGACTGCAGAAAATGTCTGCCTGGGCATCTAGACATTTCCATACATCCTCTGAAATCCAGGCAGAAGTTCCCAAACCTCAATTCTTGACTTCTGTGAATTCACAGGCTCAACACCACATGGAAGCTGCCAAGGCTTGGGGTTTGCATCTTCTGAAGCTATGGCCCAAGTTGTACCTTGGCCCCTTTTAGCCATGGCTAGAGTGGCTGGGAAGCAGGGCACCAAGTCCCAAGGTTGCACAAAGTAGGAGGGCCTTAAGTCTGGCCTACAAAACCATTTTTCCTCTTAGGCCTCCAGGCCTGTGATGGGAGGGCCTGCCACAAATGTCTCTGACATGCCCTGGAGATATTTTCCCATGGTCTTGGAGATCAACATTTGGCTCCTTGTTACTTATGCAAATTTCTGCAACAGGCTTGAATTTCTCCCCTGAAAATGGTTTTTTCTTTTCTTTCTATTGCATCATCAGTCTGCAGATTTTCCAAACTTTTATGCTCTGCTTCCTCTTGAATGCTTCACTACTTAGAAATTTCTTCCACCAGACACCACCTTTAATCATCTCTCTGAAGTTAAAAGTTCTGCAGATCTCTAACGAAGGGGCAAACTGCTACTAGTTCTCAACAAGTTCTACATCTCCAACTGACACCGTGTCAGCCTGGACTTTATTGTCCATATCACTATCAGCATTTTGGTCAAAGCCATTCAACAAGTCTCTAGGAAGTTCCTAACTTTCCCACATCTTCCTGTCTTTTGAGCACTACAAGTCTCTAGGAAGTTTCAAACATTCCCACATTTTTCTATCTTCTCATGAGCCCTCAAAACTGTTCCAGCCTCTGCCTGTTACCCAATTCCAAAGTTGCTTCCATATTTTTGGGTATCTTTGCAGCAGCCCCCCCACTCTACCAGTACCAATTTACTGTACAAGTCTGTTTTTACACTGTTGAGGAAGCCGTACCCAAGTCTAGGTACTTTATAAAGGAAAGAGGTTTAATTGACTCACAGTTCCACATGGCTGGGGAGGCCTCAAAATTATGACAGATGACAAGGAAGAGCAAATTACATTTTACATAGCAGAGGGAAGAGAGAAAGAGAACCAAGTGAAAGGGCATTTCCCTTATAAAATCATCAGATCTTGTGTGTTATTCACTATCACAAGAAAAGTATAGAGGAAACCACCCTCATGATTGAATTATCTCCCACCAGATGGGAATTATGGGAGATACAATTCAAGATGAGATTTGGGTGGGGACATATCCCAACCATATCACCCAGTGTACTTTTTTGTCACCTTTGTTGAAAATCAGTTGGCTGGAAATATGTAAATTTACTACTGGATTCTCTATTCTGATGCCTTGGTTGGTTTTTATCCCAGTACCATGCTTTAATGGATACTATAGCTTTGTAGCCTATTTGAAGTTAAGTAGTTTGATGCCCCCAGCTTTGGTCTTTTTTTGCCCAGGATTGCATTGGCTACTTGGAGTTTTTTGTTATTCCATACACATTTTAGGATTTTTATTTTCTATTTTTGTAAAGTATGGCATTGATAATTTAATAAGATTGCATTGGGTAGTATGGTAAGTTTAACAATATTAATTTTTCCCATTCATAAACATGGTATGTGTGTCCATTTTTTGTGTATTAAAATAATGTGATAAATCCAACTTGCTCTTAGTGAATGAGCTTTTTAATATGTTGCTGCATTCAGTTTGCCTGGTTTTTGTTTTGTTTTGGTTTGGTTTTTTTAGATTTTTGTGTCTGTGTTCATTAGGGACTTTGGCCTATACCCTTCTTTTTTGTTGTGTCCTCATCTGGTTTCAGTGTCATGGTAATTCTGGCCTTGTAAAAGAAGTTTGGAAGAATTCTCTCCTCTTCAATTTTTTTTTTTTTTTTTTTTTTTTTTTTGCAATAAATAGAGAACTGGTGTTAGTTCATTAAAAGTTTGATAAAATTCAGCAGTGAAATCTTTGGGTTTTAGGTTTTCCTTTGTTATGATAATTTTTATTACTGATTGAATCTCATTACTTGTCATTGGCCTGTTCATGTTTTATATTTCTTCTTGGTTCAATCTTGGTAGGTAATATGTGTCTAGGAACGTATCCATTTCCTCTGGGTTTTCCATGATCCTTTGTATTTCTGTGTATCAATTGTCATGTATTTTTTTTTAGTTCGTTATTTTATTTATTTGAACCTTCTCTTTTTTTTGTCAGTCTAGCTAACTACTAACACTTTGTCAATTTTATCATTTTTTAAAAAAAACTTTGTTTCATTGTTCTGTTGTATTTTTTAGTCTCTATTTTATTTCTGCTGTCATCTTTATTGTTTCTTGCTTTCTACTAATTTGGAGCTTGGTTTGTTCTTGCTTTTCTAGTTTCTTGAGGTGTTTGTTAGGTTGTTTATTTGAAAATTTTCTTTTTTTGATGTAGATATTTATTGTTACAAACTTTCCTCTTAGTATGGCTTTTGCTGCTGTCTCATAGGTTTTGATATATTGTTATTCTATTTTCATTTGTTTCAAAAACTTTTTAAATTTTCTTTTTATTTCTTTTTCTTTGGGGTCTGTTGCTGGAAAATTTTGCAGGTGTCATGTTTTCTTGCTTCTTTATTTATCTCATGTCCCTATCTTGATATCTGCACATCGGGTGGAACAGTCACCTCTTCCAATTTTACGGAATAGCTTTTGTAGGAAAAGACTTTTTCTTGTAGATATGACATGGTTAGGCTTCGTATCTCTACCCAAATCTCATCTTGAATTGTAATCCCTATAATCCCCATGTGTCAAGGGAGAGACCAGGTGGAGGTCATTAAATCATGGGGGCAGTTTTTTCCATGCTGTTCTCCTGATAGTAAGTGAGTTCTCAGAAGATCTAAAATGGTTTTATAAGGGCTTCCTCTTCTCTTTTTGCTCGGCACTTCTTCCTGCCACTTTGTGAAGAAGGTGCCTTGCTTCCCCTTTGCCTTCTGACATGATTGCACGTTTGCTGAGGCCTCCCCGGCCATGCTGAACTGTGAGTCAGTTAAACCTCTTTCTTTTATAAATTACCCAGACTTGAGCAGTTTTCTATAGCAGTATGAAAATGGACTAATACAAGATGTGACTTGTGATGTTGCTTGAGTAGAGTGCTTTGGCTTTTGTTTCTGTGTAAGAGCAGTAATGTAGTCTTTGTATAATATTTCTGGTGTAATCAACATCAGCAATGTCTTTGAGTACCTCTGTGCCTTAAATTGCAGGCTTTTGTGGAGGCAATGGCACAGCTTTGCTGGAGGTGGGTTCACCAGCAGCAGTAGGCACCAAATGTGCCTGTCCTCAAGGCTTGGGGGAGATATGCACAACTCTTAGTAATCACCAGTCAGGAGAATGAGGTCACTGTCAACTGGCACTAGGTAGCTGGCTCTGAGGCCCTGAGGTACACTCATGTAAACTCCTCTGAACATTGGGCATCTCTAGTCAGCCATCATGATGATATCCACATTTTTTAAAACTCAAATGACATCTTTGACTCTCAAATTTTCATATGTGAAAAATATTGTCTTTTTTTTAATAGAGCATGTGAATTCAAATCACTAGAATTATAAATAACCACTGCCATTCCAAAGCAGGACAAAATAAGCATTAATGATGCCTTTAAAAGTAGCCATGAAAATATACTATGCCTATGTTGGTTGATTTTTATACCTGTTTTTACTCAATCAGTCATTCTAAGCTCTAGTGATTGTTTCTATGGTACCATTCACTGAATAATAGCTATAACATCTTTAAATGAAGATCACTTAGTCTTTGCTTATTTTTTGATCTCCTATTCTTATAATTTTGTCATTCTAACTTTTACTGTAAGTGGTGAAAACAAAATAAAAAGTTCTCATATGATCTTGTTTTATTTTGTTACTATTTATGGTAAATTACCATGGGCTAATTAAGGAAAATTCAAAAAAATAGAAACACCAAAACCAAAAAATCACCTATATTTATTTCAAGCAGTGGCAACATGCTAAGCAATAACACTTCTTTGTTTTACTCTACGTAGCTGTGTGTGTGTGTGTGAACGCGGTAGTAAATTATTCTGTATCTGAAATTATATTCAAGGATTTTCCATCATTGTTATTAAATGTTACTCATTGCTTTCATAGACAACCTTAATACAATTTAGATAAATTTATTTCCCTGAATTTTTTTTTTTAAATAAGTATACCACTATACCTAGAGTATAAGGGTATTTCATTTTTCCAGGTAGGTAACATCATTTTTATATGTGCTTAGATGTTCATCATTATTCTCCTTTAGGTAACCATACTATAGTCAACAACAATATTTGTCATTGTATTAGTAATCAATCTTCTTTTTTCCTTTGAAAATGACTTTTATGAATCAATCGCCATTCTAAACATATTTATTCATTCCACATTTATTTATTAATATTTGTGAATTGACCCTTATATGCTAAGAAACACCTAAACAGTGCAGTTTTGTTTCAATTGGAGGGGGGACAAGAAAAATGTACCTCTCCAAACAGGGAATCTATTAATTGCACATTAAAACAATTTACCTTGATTATTAATCAGTCTCAACTGTGGATGCCAATTCTTTGATCTACAGCACCTGGTCAAAAATACGTCAGACCCACTTAGAGTTCTTGCAGATTTTGGTCATTATTATTTATTGGCCTGAAAAAACCAGGAGAGGCTGGGCGCGGTGGCTCACGCCTGTGATCCCAGCACTTTGGGAGGCTGAGGCGGGCGGATCACGAGGTCAGAAAATCGAGACCATCCTGTCTCTACTAAAAATACAAGAAAAATTAGCCGGGCATAGTGGCGGCCACCTGTAGTCCCAGCTACTCAGGAGGCTGAGGCAGGAGAATGGCATGAATGGGGCGGGGTTGCGGGGTGTGGGCGGCGGAGCTTGCAGTGAGCCAAGATCGTGCCACTGCACTCCAGCCTGGGCGACAGAGCGAGACTCCATCTCAAAAAAAAAAAAAAAAAAAAAAAAGTATATATATTATATATATATATATATATTATATATATGTTTATGTCGCAATTTGAAGGATAACAAAATAGTCATCCAATTTTGTTTATGTTTATGTAGCAACTTGAAGGATAACAAAAAAAAAAAAAAAAAAAGACCAGGAGAAAGCACAAGTGTTATAAACTAAATAGCCACATCTCCAAACGTTTGAGAAAGATTCTTTCCCTCTTCAGTAAAAACCTTAATTCAAAATCACCTGAATCAAAATGAAAAAGTTTCAAATTTTACTAATGAAATGAAAATTTCTCTAAGCAAAGTAGACATAAAGGTCATAATTAGGATATCTTTAAGGAGATCATTTTTTAATCTGAATAATATTTCTCATTTTAAAAATATATGTTTAAAAATGTATTTAATTATATTAAATCAGTACAAGTCATTAAAAGATATTATTTTATAATACTATAGAAACATTTCTCTGGGGGATTTGAGAATGTTATTTTGAAAATTTAATTGTTTCAACAGGGAAAATATTGCTTTTTTACTATGGTTACTGCATAAACAATATCATCCTTATTGAATTTATCTTTAAAACCATCACAAATAATTTATCATGTTAGTTGTTTCCTCCTAGTCATATAATCAGATCTAATACTTCTGTCTTAATTTATGATGGAAATATTGTACAATAAAGAAAATGTCAACCATAATGATGCTGTTTGTCATGATAAAAAAACTATGGATCCAAATTCTGAGAAGAGAAAATTATGTTTAACGCATCAAATCATGATATTTCAGAGAGGTTATAACATTTACATTTATTCTGTACTTTGATATGGGGGTTAGTCAACTGAAGCATGGAAAGGACTCAAGCCTATGCAACTATGAGGAAATAAATGAATAATCATAATCATAGCTGAAAAAATATATATGGTAATAGTTTAATATGTTATAAGTCATTTCCAAGTTGCCATTTCAGAAATTCAGTAATTTCTGTGGGTTGTAATTGTGATTAGGGAAGAAAGGGACATTTTAGCCCAACATTTATTTCCACAGGTTTTATTTTGTATAGTTTATATCAACCCACTTTAAATTTCACAAATTTCTTCCTCAGGCATGACAAGCCCCTCAAAGTAATTCTTCAATTTAGATATCATGGTTTGTTGTTGTTTTAAATTTCAGGGATTTTTGTTTGATTCATTTTAATAGATTTCATCTTTTTGTTGAAATCTCTGTCTTTTCATTTATGTTCTTAACCTTTACCACTATATCATTTAACATATATATTTTTTTTGTTATTATACTTTAAGTTTCAGGGTATATGTGCACAATGTGCAGGTTAGTTACATACGTATACATGTGCCATGTTGGTGTGCTGCACCCATTAACTCATCATTTAACATTAGGTATATCTCCTAATGCTATCCTTCCCCACTTCCCCCACCCCACAACAGGCCCCGGTGTGTGATGTTCCCCTTCCTGTGTCCATGTGTTCACATTGTTCAATTCCCACCTATGAGTGAGAACATGTGGTGTTTGGTTTTTTGTCCTTGTGATAGTTTGTTGAGAATGATGGTTTCCAGCTTCATCCATGTCCCTACAAAGGACATGAACTCATCATTTTTTATGGCTGCATAGTATTCCGTGGTGTATATGGGCCACATTTTCTTAATCCAGTCTATCATTGCTGGACATTTGGGCTGGTTCCAAGTCTTTGCTGTTGTGAATAGTGCCACAATAAACATTTGTGTGCATGTGTCTTTATAGCAGCATGTTTTATAATCCTTTGGGTATATACCCAGTAATGGGATGGCTGGGTCAAATGGTATTTCTAGTTCTAGATCCCTGAGGAATCACCACACCAACTTCCACAATGGTTGAACTAGTTTACAGTCCCACCAACAGTGTAAAGGTGTTCCTATTTCTCCACATCCTTTCCAGCACCTGACTTTTTAATGATTGCCATTCTAACTGGTGTGAGATGGTATCTCATTGTGGTTTTGATTTGCATTTCTCTGATGGCCAGTGATGATGAGCATTTTTTCATGTGTCTTTTGGCTGCATAAATGTCTTCTTTTGAGAAGTGTCTGTTCATATTCTTCACCCACTTCTTGATGGGGTTGTTTTTTTCTTGTAAATTTGTTTGAGTTCATTGTAGATTCTGGATGTTAGCCCTTTGTCAGATGAGTAGATTGAAAAAATTTTCTCCCATTCTGTAGGTTGCCTGTTCACTCTGATGGTAGTTTCTTTTGCTGTGCAGAAGCTCTTTAGTTTAATTAGATCCCATTTGTCAATTTTGGCTTTTGTTGCCATTGCTTTAGGTGTTTTAGACATGAAGTCCTTGCCCATGCCTATGTCCTGAATGGTAATGCCTAGGTTTTCTTCTAGGGTTTTTATGGTTTTAGGTCTAACATGTAAGTCTTTAATCCATCTTGAATTAATTTTTGTATAAGGTGTAAGGAAGGGATCCAGTTTGAGCTTTCTACATATGGCTAGCCAGTTTTCCCAGCACCATTTATTAAATAGGGAATCCTTTCCCCATTTATTGTTTTTGTCAGGTTTGTCAAAGATCAGATAGTAGTAGATATGCAAATCATAGTTTTTGTAAATCCCCTGACTGATAGTTTTAACATCTGACTAACAGCTCAAACTCCTTCTATTGATTGTTTTAGCTCTGGAAAATGGCTTGTTTGTTTCTTGCTATTTTGTTTGTCTTATAATTTTTGAGTGATGTTAAACATTGTGAATTCAAGAACAATAAAGACTGAGGTGAAGAACATTCATAGCCAGAAATGTATACAACTCTTCCTCTCTTAGGGTGGTAGTAAATAATTGAGTTGTGTTTGGGCTTTGTTTTTGATATATTCACCCTCATTGCCAGCCAGTCTTCTAATTTTTTCAGTGTGGGCTGGTTGAACCACATGATTGAGTGAGGACTGTGGTGTTGGAGGCTTCTATCAGTTTTTGTGCTCCCTCCCTTTCAGAATCCATTGCACTACTGTGTCAAATAGAGGGTCTCTATATCCATACTCCTTCCTCTCTAAGTAGACTGCTGTTGCTTTTTATTCAATCCTAAACTCATTACGGAGGCAGGAAGCAAACTTGCGGTTCTTCAGGTGCAGGTTCAGTCTTAGACAACATCTATGTGCCTGAGTATCAGGAATAGGGTTTTATTATTATTCTTGTCTCTCTCCTCCCCAAGAGAACTATATTCAGACTTGTATCTCTGAAGGATCTGAAACAGGAGAGATACTTTTTTCCCCTCTTTGCCTCCAGCAAGAGTACACCTCTGCTTTATATCATCATAGTATCCTGACCCATAAAAGTTTTCATAAGGTAAGACAATTTTGATTCATTCCCTCTCCCCAAAACAGTGATCTTTGCTTGATGTCAGAAAGAAAGGTTCACTAACACTTCTCCAGAAGTTGATGAGTTTTGCTTTGATCCACAGAGCACTGGATCTTTGCCTGGGACCTGGGGATAAGACAGTTTGTTGCTTCTCCCTAATCAGCTTAAAGCTTTTTTCTACCTACAGTGAAGGGTGCAGGAAAGTGGACTATAGTTTGAAGCTATTCTACCCCCATCATACCTTTAGCATTTAGCGATCCTCCCTGGTCCTCATTCTTTCCCATGAACTCCTGTGAAGATCTATAGACTAGTTTATAATTGAATGAAAATGTCCTGTGTTTGTGTTCCCAGGTGTTTTAATTTTTTTGTAATCCACATTAAGCTTTTAGGAATTCATTAAAATTTGGGTTGTTTTTTTCTTATGTGCTTCTACAGCAGCCCCTTCTGTGCTCTGATAAAATGAAACAATTTTAATGTCCTGTCTCACATCCAAGGTGCCTTCTACTTCTTGGAACTCAGTTTACTTTGTTGTCTCATTACATCAGCTGTCTGATGGGTTTAAGAAAAATAATATTTTTATATATCATCCAGTATTTTCTCACTGTTAGAATCACAACAATGTTTTTAAATTTTTATATCCTAATCATAAGCAAAAATCTATAAAGCATTTTAAAATGAAAACATGTTTATTGCTTAGTGATAGATCTTTCTTCCATCACAGAAGTTCAAAATGGAGATTAGAAATTTCTATTACAGCACAAACCAGAATTTCTCTCCAGATATGATATTCCAGCATACAGATTTGTGATCTGGCTAATAGAAATATCAAAAAACAGAAGAGAAATCAACAACAACAACAAAAATAATAATTTTACTTTTGGAATTTAGAAAATGCGTTGCAACAGTGTAACAAAGAGTGTTCAGTATGTATTATAAAAAGGGAAATTGAGGGCTAAAAACATTTGGGATATACTAGGATTAATACAGGTTAATGATTTGTTTCCTAGTAGACTTCTCTTGACTTTTAATATATTAATTTGCACTGCAGATCTGTAAGAGAAGAAAATATCTATTTAGCACTTTACAATCTTATGTGACCACGAAGCCTCCTTTATTTTTTTTTATTTTTCCCATGAACAGTATTCCATAGAGCTCAATGTGGGAAATGCTAGTTTAGATATTTTTTAAACACACTGGCATTTAAAAATGTTTAAATATTGTCTTATTTTCACAATTTTGATTTTGTTGTGTCTAATTATAGTTAAACTCTCTTGATGAAATAAAAAATGTGAAAAAGCAGCAAAGTTTAGAAAAAGGAGAGCAAACAAAATGTTGATAGTGTAATTTTATATTAACAAACTTCAGGTAAATTCTGTGAAATCTAACCCTAAATTTAGTGTCCAACCACCCCCAACTCAGCATTCTCTTTAGTCACATAAACCATACTACAAATAGTTCAAGTTAAATTTGGGCAGAGATTCATATTTTGGCTTCTATTGCTGAGATAATTTTTATTGACATATTCCAAAGAACCCTTTGAAAATATCTTCCATCTGTTCTAGACCAAATGAATAACCACTATTTGTGTTGTAAACTATGGGACTGATAAATAGGCAAAATAATCTTATGAACAGAAAACTTTGATACCTCAGTTATCTGTTTATTTTGGAATTAAGATGATTTTGTATTATGCCGCATGGGTAATATTCCACAATATTTAAAAATTTTTATTTTATCCTTTTCTTCACTCCTTAATTCATTCATCTATTCATAATCTGTTAAATGCTTAAATTCACCACCAATTTGCAGAACCAATGAGGAATAAGGAATCTATTGTATTTAATTCTAAATAAATTATGTAGCTATCCACTAAGAAATGAAATGTTTTCTATGACTCCTTTAAAATCTTCAAAGTCAATATATATATATTATACATATGTATATAAATCAAGCTTTTGTTTCTCTATTTACACTTTCTTCATGACTTGTGCTACTATAAAATACAATATATTTTATACCAAAATGTACAGTTTATCTGTGGCATATTCCATAAGTATACTCTATACGGAGCCACTTATGTGTCTAGACAAGTATGTTACAAAAAATGTTGTAAATAAAAGTTAATTATGAGAAAATAAAATTTGATTTTTTTAGGATTTAAAATGCTAATGTACACTATAGTTGACATAATACAATTGTTTTTGGCTTTTGATATACTCAGACATTTGCCTCAACTAATATGCCACATGAAAAAGATCAGTGAAATAATTGACAGAAAATTTCTTTCCCATGGCAAAGTGTAATTTCTTATTTCAAGATATATAAGATATGTATTCTTTAAAAAGCAAATAGTTATATTAACTCATTTTTGAAACTTTAATATTTATACCAGAAATTTGAATCACAAAATAATGTCTCAGTTTTCTAACCATCCTTTAACTCAGGAGTGAGTGGCATATTATTAAAGATCGTTCTATTGGTCTTTAATTCCTAAGCAAGTGATCAAACTAGAGAAAATATGAATAAAACAGATATTTATTGGAGCCTTCTAATAGAAACCTATTACTTCTATGTGAAAGGTTTAGGAGAACCAGAAGAAATAAAACTTCAGAAATTCAAGTTAACAAAAAAAACCTTAAAATATAAAGTTTGCTTCATTATAGCTATTTGATTAGTATGAGTTAATAATATCCTTGTAAACTGTTAAAAGTAGAGACATTCAAAAAGTAAGCTGATTAAATCTACATCAAGCATGGCTGCCATCTTGTGGGGACAGGATATAATGTATTGAGGGGCCAATCTCAATAATGTGCCCCTTTTGGGTTAAAGTCATCATTTGTTCTCCATCAATCAGTTGTTTGATGCTTATCAACATTTCTCTTGAAATGCCACATCAACATTTGGACAGAAAAGATAAGGTAACTAAAAGGACTATTAATGAATCCCTGTTTCTAAAAGTTCAGTATCATTGCCAATGTATAGACAGTAAGAAAACTTTAAAACTAGAAGTTTTTCACTTGAATCAACCTTAAAAACAGATAAGTTTGGTAAAGCATTCATATTTATTAATCATTTAAATTGCAAAATTATATTAGAATTTATATCTAATTGAGTTAGAAGATAATATGGCATTGTCTGATAGGGCATATAGATTTACAGTTTCATAGATTTACAGAAAGCTTTGAAAAGAAGAAAGAGATTATGAGTTTATTTTAGAAGGGAGGGAAGAGGGAAGGAAAAGGAAAGGAAGGGAAGGGAAGAAGAAAGGGAGAGATGAAGAGAGGAAGGAAGGAAGGAAAGAAGGAAGGAAGGGAGGGGAGGGGAGGGAAGGCGAAGGAAGGGAAGGGAGAGATATAAGCTATTACTGAGGATAAGATTTTCACTAGTGTCACAGACAAAATAGTTTGACAGAGCGGTAAGTGGTAAGTCAGTGTGAAGTTGACCTGAAAAAAATGAGGTCAAGATAAGGCCAGCGTAAATATGTTATACAGGAATATGTAATTTAAGTATTTTTTCAAAGCTTATTTAAAAGTCAAAACATGTGCTTTCTAAGTTTAAGCCTTCCAACAAATATTAGTACAACTTCTGGAACTCAATTTTCCCATCATTGTCTAGAAAACCAAGACACTGAATGAGAAAGCCCCTGAAGCCTCAATGAGCTCTGAACTTCTTTGATGTGCTGAGTACAAAAGTTACTCTTTCAGTCCCTCAACCAAAGGGAATTTATGTTTTTCACATCTGCAAATAAATATCCCAATTACAATTTTACAGCCATTTATCACAACTACTTGCATCTATAGATGATCAGTCTTTGCCTTTTAACAGTTTTCCTTTCATGCTCATATTAAGGTTGAAATGTACTTGGAATCTTTTGTGTGACTAGCCATATTTGTAATATGAATAATATAATCATAAATAATTAGAAATAATGATCAGAATTTATTGTGTCCCATTTTGATGATATTATTTTAAAAACCAACTCTTTTAAGTTTCAAATAAGTTGACTCATAAATTCATAGATCTTTATACTAAAACAAAATAAAACTCATGAGTCATTAAAATATAATTGAACAGTTCGTTAAAATTGACCAATGTAAGTTGATTTACTGCTGTTATAACAATGAGCAGCTGATTTTTAAAATTTAAGCATTGGTATTCTTAGCAGTTTTAACAGTGAAAATGAAATAATTATATGTTCCAAGAATTTCTATTCTATTACCTTGCTTTCTTTCCACAATTGTGCATGATTGAAGCAGTCAGCATTTGTAGTTTCCCCTCCAATGCAAATCAGTTTTTCTCAAAAATTCTGCTTTTCAAAGAAAAATAGGCATATTAGTTTAAATCTTGGGGTAGTTCAGATAATCTATCATTTCTTCAAATAATTGATGTTCAAATCATGATCGATGCCTGAATGAAGTAACAGTCTCCACCTTGGAAGAATAAACTCAACAAACATGATTTACTTACATTTTATTTTAAATAGTTAATCATTTGTTATAAAACTTTAGTTAATGAGGGTATTTTCCTGCCAATACATGCCAGAATTTCACAAGGTTTGAATTTAAGTACAGTGGGCCAGGTACATCACTTATTTCCATATAATAAGGCTTGAATTAAAGTTAAGCAGCCTTAATGAGACCAACAGATAGCTGTCATTAAAACATTTAATATGCACAGCTAGTGAATTCATATTTTTTCTTCTGGAATTTAACATCTAACTCACACATTATAAATATTTGTATCCAGCTAACTACATATTACATTATGACAGACAATTTTCTAAAGTAGTAGAAAATATAGTTAATATATATTTATTATATATTTATTAATTAGGAATCATTGAATGTAGAAATTATTTCAACAGTAAAAAGACTGATTGTTATTCTTGAAAAATCAAACAGCCAATGTTAAATTTATACTAACTTTCTTGTGTAACTTTTGGAAAGCCAAAACTTGTTGTTCTACTGTTTCTTCTGATTGGCAGGAGTGGTCATTATACCTTAAGGGCTTTTTTTGATGTGTCACCCAGACTCATTTAAATGTCTGAGTATTAGAACAGTGATTCTGAACTATGGCTGCATAGCAGAGCCCTGTATAGAGGCTTTTAGAATATATTACAGGCTGTGTCCCAAACTCCAGAGATTCTGATTAAATTAGCCTTAAGTGACCATTTTAAAAAGCTTCTCAGATTATTTCAAAGTGAATCTACATTTGAAAACTACTAAACTGGAGGATTTGGGAATAATGAAAATGCTTTGCTCACAGTACACTAAAACATTTCCAAGAGGGGAAATAGTATGAATATGACTATACAATATTTGACTTTCTCCAGGACAGATACTCATTAGCCAGGACTGGACTAGTTAATGCTCTGAAGTTCTTCCTAGTTATCTTATTCTAAGATATCATGGTGTTCTTTCCATGTTAAATGGTTATAATTTTTCTTGATAGAATACATAATGACTTACCAATTTTTAGAATGTCACTGTAAATAATATTTGAAGGAAGCTATGGGGAGTGCATCTCTTCTTTCAATTCATTATCTGAATAAGCAAAGTATAATCTATGGAATTGCATCAAAACACTTTATAAAGTAAAATGACATTAACACCAACATTAATATAATCAATATTGAGTCAATGTCTACTAATGGAAACAAAAGATAAGAGAATGATCAAAATTGAGAGTAATTAATCAGTGAATGCTTCTTGGAAGCACTGGTTTGTTCCAGATTCAGAAGGAAGTGATGAAATTCAAGTCAACAAAGGGGTTCTCTGTAAAATGCTGTGTTGAATAAAATGTGAATGAGCTTTGGTTTTCACTCTCAAGGCATTTATGATCTAACTTAGTAGTAGTTCTGTCTAACTCTAATACAAAATAGGGTGTGTTACGACAGCATAGAAGATAGATGGATTTATTCCACATTAAAGGACTGGACACTACTTCATGGGCAAAAGGAATTTGAACTAGCCCTTGAGATGGTGAAGGAGAGTGGTTGGGAGGACAAATACGTGCTTTCCAAGCAGAAATATTAACATAAGTAAAAATATGGCAGCAAAACATTTTCTGGAATGTTCAGGAAAAAGTGTACAAGATGAATGAAAACAGCCAGAAGTGAGAATGTACAACTGTGTCTGGAAAAATAGTAACCCAATTCAGAAGGCTAGAGAGAAGGGCTCAAGTGAGGGAACGGGAGGAAAAGAGGTTTGCCAAACTTGGAGGTAAGGCTTTGAAAGGTTGTGTAATGAGCTTGACATCCACACATCCAACATTCCTAAAGAATTCCAATTATAACTGAGACAATATTATGACATTAATACCTGACCTCGACTAGTCACTCGATTGTGTTAACAAATCTTCAGTTTGCAATGAGGCCAGATTGACATAAGTCAATCATTATAAGAAAAGAAGTCACAATGATCAGGATTTTATCTTAAGGAATAAGCTTGCAGAAAATCCTTTCACTGGAGACTGAGAGGCTGTCATTCAGGACTTCCTCAGCTTTTTCCATGGAAGAGAGTACCCAACTTCCTCATTCGGAATTTATCTACATAGGTTATTAAGCTACTCAATGAAATATTTTGACCAAATGTTTATGAAAAATTTTTCTGTTTTATTTAATTATTCTGCTTTTTTATTTTAATTTCAAGATCTTTTCTATCCTGATAGAGAAGAATTTCTATCAATAGAAAGGATTTCAGGAACCTTTCTCTATCCTGATTGCCTAAAAAATACACTGGAGACAGAAAAAAAAAATCATTGTATAAAAGGTAATTAGCACGTTCTCTCCTTTTTATAACTTTATAATTGAAATCTCATTAAAAGCTTTCTAGGTCTGTATTTCCCTAAGTGACCAGGTGTCCCTAATTTGTTTTCAACCAATGTGACTAATTCCAGGCAAAGACTAGAAAAAGTCTGATACCTGTTAGAGAATAGCAAGGTTAAATAAGTGGGGTGGCTTTTTTAGGTTGCATTTAACCTCGTAAAATAAAGAAAGGAAAAAAAAAGCTTCAATGTCTTTTTACAGTCCTGCCTTTTTCTCAGTCCCGGTTGAAGATTCCATGGGAAATGAGAGCACTATTTTGTTTCTCCCTTGTATTGCAGATAGGGGGAGGAGGTGGTTATTAGAGAGAAGCTCTTCCTCTCTTGGTTTCCCCCTCTCTCCGCCTGACAGCACCGCTCTCTCGCAGGCTCGCTCCTTCTCCTAGGTGATCCATTTCTAGGCAACGTGGGGCTGGTGCTGAAGCTGCCAGGCTCGCTCCTTGCTTCCTGCATCCCGCCAGGCGAAACGCTCCAAAAGCATCCTGCAGCCTGCGGCGGCTTCCCTCCTCTGGCCCGGCCCCGCTGCTCGCGCCCGGCGCAACCCCCCCGCCACCGCGCCCCAGCAAACCGGCTCCCCGGGCCCGCCTCGCCAAGCTGCGTTCCGCGCCTCACGCAGAAAGGGAATTTTCTCTGCATTACTATCTGCATTACCTTGAAGTTCACTTTTTCTACCCCTCTTGGAGAGGGCTTTTTTCCCCCCTCCCTGGTGGAATCTGGCTGCTCCGTTTGGAATCTCCTAATCTTTCCTTTCCACTTAGATTCTGGCAGCGAAGACCAGTGATTCTCTGCGGGCTGTAGGGGCGGGGGCGGGGGTCTTTTTTGGTCCGAGAGGGTGCGGGGAAGGGGGCACATCCGGCGTGAGGGGGGTGTTGGAAGTTGCAGCGGAGCTGGGACCGGAGACCCGCGGCCCCCGCGCAGCGATGGGTCTGATCTGAGCCCCAGCCTCTCCCCCTGCCCAAGAGCAGTAGAGGCTGGATATATTTTTCAAAAGCCAAACTGCAAACAACTCTGGCGATGCCAAAATTCCCCTCCAAGTGACACGGCTTTGCGAAGGAGGTTTCCTCAGGCTGGGCTCTTTCTGTCATTCCCTTCTGCCTTTCTCGGCGACGATAAAAGGCTTTGCTCTGGCAATAGGAATTTAGAAAAAAAGAAAAAGCTGCGCTAAACTCCACCGTGACCTCAAACTCTTTGGACTGTTTGAAAAAAAAAAAATTGGAAGAAAATCCATCCTCCAAGAGAATCGGCATAGGAGGAGATGGAAGTTTTCCCCTTTCTCTTGGTTTTGTCCGTCTGGTGGTCTCGAACCTGGGACTCGGCGAATGCGGATTCGATCATTCACATCGGTAAGAAAGTGTTGGTGCAGCTCGTGGTTACTTTTACCGTTTCAGTTCTCAAATGTTTCCCCTTCGCTTTCCCCCTCTCCGGTCTCTGTGTGTCTTGTTGGAGGTGGCTTCAGTTCATTGCCCCTTCCCGCTACCCTTCCCTCACACTTGCTCAGTTTTCTGAAAGGATGTGGATGCTCGAACCTCGACTGACTTGTGCTGTTGTTTTGCAGTGATTCGTGGAATGTGGCTGGATGCGTGGGGGTCTCGAGTTGACCTGAGTGTGAGTGTGTGCTGGGAACTGCAGGGGGATTCTAAGTGTGTGGGGAAAGGGAGTTTAATTGACTCTTATCTTCCATATTTTTTTTCCCGGATGTACATTTGCTCCATTTAAAAATTTATCTTTGGGGGAGCAGAGAAGCTGTCACCTGTGAGATGAAAAGAACTGGGCTGGGGGGTAGGGGGAGCTCCCTTCGGATCGAACAGGTGGTTTTGCAACGTGAGCCGGCTGAGTTCGCCGCAGCTTAGTGCGATGGTGACGGGGGTGCCGGATGCGCCCCCAGCCACCCTCTCTTCTCACATCTTCTTGGCTTTATGATCCTTGCGTGTAGTCTTTGAGACGGTGGCAGGAGGGGCTGGCGGCAGTGTCGCCAAGGACTGATTGTCGCGTGCCTCGCCTCCTCGGACACGCTCCCGGGGCCTGGCGCGGCGGCGAAACTGACCCCGGGGCGCTTGGGAAACGCGGGGAAGCGAATGCGCGCAGGCTGCTCCCGAGGTCTGCTTAGCAGATATCCGCCTTGCCTCGCCTCGCCTCGCCTCGCAGTCAACTCCGAGTAGCCGCGCAAGGCAGACAGCGAAGGCGCCGGGACTACTGCGGGCCGCGACTCTGAGAAGGACTGCCGAGCGGGCTCCGAGATGCTGGTGGCCCCACCTATTGGCAACCAGACGGGCCGGGACTGGCCGCGGCGAGCAGGGGCGGGCGGGGGGCTGCGCGTCATTATCATGCACAGCGCTCGCAGCTTCAGGCTCCAACTCTACTCACTTGCTAATCCGTGAGAGCTGAGCGGGAGACAGGCTCTTGCAGCCTTTTCTGCGTTAATGCGACGATTTCTTTTTCGGAAATTCGCTTACCGAGCCAGCAAGGTTTCTTTGCTGGGCTGCAGAGAGGTCCCTTTGGGGGAATTTTTCTGGGCACAGGACTTTTATCTGTACGCATGGCTTGGTGTTCTGCAAATTGAGGCGACAGATGGGTCACAGCTTCTCCCCTTTCTGTACCCCTGCTTCTCCACCGCACAACACGCATACACATACACACACGCACGTACACATACTCCTGGTAGGGGAATCTGCTGCAGGTGGCGATTGTGCCCGCCCAAGCGAGGGATTTCTGTCTAGCGTGCGCGCCCACAGTGGCCAGCCCCTCCGCTCCAGGGGGCTCCCTCTCTTGGTCTCAGAGGCTGTCTTTGTAAACATGTCTGCCATTCTCTATCATTTATATCAGTAGAACTGTCTGTCTCTGTGCAAGGGGTAATGAGGTCAGGATTCAGAAAACCTAGCGTTTGTGCATTAAGTAAGTCAAGCACTAATAGCTTGCCTGCTGGATCCCGTTTTGCCTGGGGGCTAACAGTGCCTACAGATTCAGAACTTTTCAGCAAGAAATTATGGTCTCATTGAGTGGTTCAGCAATGTTCTGATAGAGTTCAGAAATGAACTATGCTCCTTTTAGAGAAATGGCATACATTTATATCTAGTTGTAAATGATTGGAGCAGGAATGCAGATATATAATCATAATACCTTTATATTCATTGTATGATTAGGGATTTCTGATGTAGGCTCCTCATCTCTCAGGAGGGAAAGCCTGTGGAAGAATGCTTTTTTTAAATCGCTTATTCTGTGGTCTGCATGATAAATACATTATTTACAAATACCTACAGCTTTTGCTATCCCTTACTAGTTAAATATTATTTTGCAATGCAGTCTGGACATCTGTTTCAAAATAGAACAAAACTGTTGTATTTTTTAGTTTGTATACTGTTGTCTGTCAGAGTGGCTATAATCACATTTAAAAATTAACTGTGTACAAATTACAGATTTCTTTAGAAAGTTGGTTGTATACATTAACTGTGTATATCCTACTAACAGATATAGTTACTTCTGAGACAATTAATTTGACTTGAATATAATTAGTACATTAGATGAGATAATTAGCTGTTTTATAGACTACCTAATATTGTCATGAGGCTAGCAAATTGTTTCAAAAACTTTATCTTTTATAATATATCGAAAAACATTAACTCCTAAATTAAAAAAATAAAAAATGATGACGGGTAGTATGTGTGTAATTCAGTGCCTCCACCCCTACTCTCAGCAAAAGTATAGTAAATTCAAAACCGAATGTCCATATTAAAATTGTAAAGCACCAGTTAACATGAATTGGATTAGTTTCCTTACTTGTTTGAATAGGAAAAGAATTAATTTTCTTTAGGAGGTGTTGCCTTCATTTAAATATTTAATGTGAGAAATATGTTTCTGGGGAAATATATTAGTTCAGGACTGAAGGAATGAATGTGATGAAACTGGAGGGAAAGGGAATATTTCACCTCTAGCGATGGAAGGAGATATGCAGAAATGAAAGGTTTTCCCAGCCTCATGTGATGTGTTCAAGCAGAAAGTAGCTGCAATATGTAGTTCAGGCAAACTGGAAAGATGAAAAGACACTGCTCTAAGAGGCTTTTTATATATTGAATTATTTTGGTATTGAACCAACTTATATATACATGAAAATCATCTCCTTCTTTCTCTCTTTCTCTTCAGTTTTTACCTCATGCCGGTAGTTTAATAAGGTCAATTACACATTTTAAACTCTAATATGTTTTGTTAAACATATTGATTCACTACAGTGATGAAACATAATGGTTAAACCATAATGATTGAAATGAAAATGTATTTATTTTAGTCAAAAATGCACAATTTTATGATTACTTTGAGTTTCAAATATTTAAAAATATTTAATCATTACGTATATTTTTAATACACATCCACACACAGATACACAACCATATAGTATTTAAAAATGAATCACTTCCATTGTGATCTTCTTTGCCCCAATTAAAGAAAGGTCTTTTGACATATAAAAACTATGCAATTTTGAATTATGCTTCTACTTTGAGCCTATGCATTGATTGAGTAATTTCATCAGACCCACATTACTTGATTGCTTAGAAGTTTCCTAATGATCTGCATGCTGTAGGAAGAACCAAAAAGTCGTGAGTGGAATGGCAATGATACTGTGTTTTATGAGGCTATTCAGAAGTCGCTCTGATTTATGTAGCTAGAAAGCTCCAAAGTCTTTGAGATTAGCCACGCTGACTGCTATTTTCTTCATACATCAGTCGTCCCACACTCTTTACTCCCTAAACACAACAGGAGTTTAGAGCACTGCTTTAATTCAGCAGGGATTAGGTGGCATTTCCAGTCAACTGCACAGTTTGTGTTTTGCTTCATATCAACTATGGAAGATCTCATGTTTTAACAGTTTAATATATGCTCCTTTCTTTATCTGGTTCCTGTGCTCACAGAACTGATTGTAAATTAGCTGTCCTCAGTTATACATCTCTACAAGGGAACACTCAAACAGTGTACTTATTCATATATTATACAAATCACTAGCATATTTTTGTTGTTTTCAGTCATAGTAAAATACCTTATGTCAACATGGAGTAGAAAAGATGCATTTATTCATGTTTTTCTCACAAACAGATGATACTTTATCCTCTGAAATCATAATCAGCTGTGATATTATATTTGAGAAACCTAAGATAATCCACAGAATATTTTCACTATGAGAATGTTCAAATTAAAGTACAAAATCGGGTAAATAAAAGGTGTCAACACATTAAAAACAATAATAGATTGTAAATGTAAAATACCAGTTATTCTTACTTCTGCACTAAGGATTATTTTGACAATTACAGCATATAAAAGCATTCCCAGAAGATGTGCTGTTCTTTTACCATTTTTTTTTTTCAGTTGACTACATGATTTGCATTGGTTAATGATAACCCCCAGGACTCCTCAAGGATTTTTTGGATTGTGTAAGATGTCTCAATGATATTTTATCCTTTTTCTACTTATAGTAGTTGTTTGTTCCTGAAGTTCTTGATAACTGTGTAAACGTCTAGAATGTACTAAGGGACTTGGCTTTACTATTCTTCTCTGTATCATTAATACAGTTATTTGAAGCACAATTCAAGTGTGTATTAAGTTAGACAATGTTGTTATTAATCAAAGATACCAACTATGACATGACTAATAAGCCATTACACTAAGGGCCTTTGCTTTCTACGCCAGGTGAAATGTACATCCACTAAATATCTGTTATAAATTTTAAGCCAAATAGGAATAAAAATCCAGGTGATTAACTTTTGATTTATTAAAAAATAAAAGCCAATTGAAATTGTTAGGAGTGATGGAAGATACATTTTATTCCATTCTGATATCTCAGGCTAATTTTATCATATGGTAATTTTATCTTAAAGGGCCATTGCAATTTCAAAAGCACACTTTTTAATCCAGAAGTTTTTTTTCTTCACCTACACCTACGTATATGACTTTATTTTAAAAAGTAAGATATTCACATTTCTATTGGATCATCATGATATTTTAGATTACAGACAGCATATTGGTGAGTAGCAATACTTAGAATGTATTACTATAGTATAATGTTTATTAGAAAATACATTTATGGCCTATAAAGATATCTTTGCCATTAGGTGTCACTGCATTCTGAGCTGTATTTTTTTTTTTAGTACTACTTGAAAACCACATGAAATATTTTTAAAAATCTCAGAAAAAAATGTCATTTTAATGAGGTTTGTGATGCTGTAAGAAAATAGGTAGTTTTTATTTTCAAACTAGAAAAATAAATATGATCCCTGTCTCTTATTCTTGTAAGAATTTAATGCTAGGACATATCAACACACCTGATACCCTCTAAACAAATTAGATTGCTAGACCTAGTGATACAATTTTTTTTCTTATATTTAAAATAGGAGAGAAATATCTTCTTAAACTAATACTTATTCTCTATGAATAAAATCTAAGACACCTGGAAGGATGCAAGTGTGTTTAATACTGCTGGAGTAAACACACATTAGTGAATAAAGTAGTTTGTTAAGCAGCTTCTAACGGTGGTAGCTCTGCTTACCTATGGGATACTTGAGGTCCCAAACTGATTGTTGTTTTTGAGACAAAACATATGAAAATAGAGTTGTGGGGAAAAAAAAACACATGGACACAAATACATCTAAAAATAATGTCAACCATTGAGTTTTATGAATGACCATATATGTTTTCAGATAATTTTTGCCTGGTTAATTGTATGCATTGTATCGATTCCTTGCATAGTTGCACCTCCACCACTACTATCACTACAAGTACCACAATTATAGGGTTTATTTGTTCATGTAAAACTCATAACTATTCTCACATAGTAATTTATTTGTTTTGTAAAAAGGCACTATCTTCCTTCTAGCATATTTCATTATAAGAATAATGGAGGATGAAATTTAGGGCAACTTTTAATCTGATAATTTAGTTTTAACATTGGCAAACTCACATTATTAGAGAATGCAACACTAGTTTAACTGAATGAATGGTTTGTCTTATGTTAGATTTTGCCCTATGCCAAAGTTCATTAATTATTGGAAAATTAAATGATTAGACAGATGTCTAAAAGATAAGAAAAAATACTAAACAGTTCTGGAATTGATTATTAGAACATCTATGGATTCATGTCATTAAATTGGCAAATTTTAGCATATTGATGTGGACACACATTTCAGAGAATTTGACAAACATATGGGCAATGTTAAGGTATAATAAAAAAAAGTATTCTGGATTAGAATTTAGAAGGTATTGGACTAAATCTCAATTTATAAATAGCTAATTGAATACATTGGAAAGTTATTTAATTTTTAGTCTTCATTTTTATCAACCCTAAAATAAGATTTAGACTAATGTTCATTTAATCTCTAAGATTATATGAACTAAATGGAGAACAATTGCTATATTTAAGGAGGAACAGAAAGGAATTGGGAGAAGAGATACAGTCAAGTGTGGCTATATTTAATAGCTGCCTTAGAGTGACCTTCAAAAAAGGAAATACAAGGGGAAATAAGGAACATGAAATCTTAATTACACAAGTTAAGAACTCTTTAAATTGAAGATGTCTTTGTTGCAAACAAGAATTATGTACATTTCTTCATCAGGTATTCTGGATAACTAGTATCTGATTGAGAGAGCTGGATTTGTTTTTTGTTTTCGATTTTGTTTTCGTTTTGTCTATTATTAGTACCAAGGTGTTACCTACAGCATCACTCCTATAGAACACTGCAAAATTAGTGTTTAACACTAATTGGAGGGATGAATAGTCTTATGTATCAACTATCATTGTGTATGTACACTTGCCTTTAGAATTTGCAAACTGGGAGTGCATCAGGAATATTAACATATGCTTTATATCACTACAAACAAAAGTAGAGTATAAAGAAAGCAACCAATTCAAAGTTCTTCACTATCCTGGACTCCTGCTTCAGGTTTTTATGCTTTTATCCTACTGTTGTTCACCAAGTAGTCATCAATGTGAAGCTGAGGCTGAGTTGACCCCGAAAGCTTCTTGAGTAGATACAGGGAAGCCAAGTGAACACCAGAAGCTAAGCACCAAAGGCCTACTTATGGTCTTAAATATTCTTAAATCACTCTGTAGTCAAGTTCCTTATTAACAGATTTTTAAAATGAAAAACATTAGGTAGTAAATTATATTACAATAGCAATTTGCATATGTTTTTCTTTAAACTAAAATAATTAAAAGTACTATTTTAAAAAATAATCTCATTTTATTGAGCAGAGTACCTGATTTTTTTCATAAGTAAGCTTAAATAAGATATTTGCTTCATTAATAAAGTCATTATAATTCTAGAAGTTAATATTCCTGAAAGTATATGGTAATATAAGCATTACTACCAACATGTAGTATGTGTGCTAATTGGGAGAATATTCTTTTATTCAGCAAACATTTTATTCTGAATTTACTCTGTATGAAGCATTGCTTTTAGTCTCTAAAATTAAAATGTTGAACCAACAAGCTATGTTTTTGTATTTAAGGAACTTACATTCTCATGGAAGAGGCAACCAGATAAGAAAATATATGATGTAATGTCAAATATTGATAAATGCTATGAAGCAAAATGAGGGAATGAAGGGTGACAAAGTATGTTTTCATTGGAACAGAGACTTGATCCAAAGAAAGGATGTGAACCATGTGGATATCTGATGAAGAATAATTCAGTCAGAGGATATAGCAAGAATGACGGCCATGAGATAAGACACTAAGAAAATCTGCTTAGTTTACTTAAGAAATATATTCAAAGGCAATTGGAGTATAGTTCAGTGAGAAAAGCAGGAAGTGGAAGTAAATGGGGTCTGAGAGGGCACTGAGGAAGATTCTGTAGGGACTTACAGGCCATGGTAAGGTATTTAAATCTTCTAGGTATATTTGGGTTAAGATAAAATGTGTGATATGAAATAGTTTGTATTTTAGAAAGATAACATTCTTTGCTTAAGTGCACTGGATAGAGTAGAAGTATAAATTGACAATAGCAAATTGGATCAAGGTGGTAGCTTAGCTAAATGTACAGTTATCAGATTGTGGACATAATGTGAAGATCGGAAAAACAGGATTTTCTGATAGATGAGCCAGGTGGGAGAGATCCAGAGAAAGTAAAGAGGCTTCCAAGGTATTTTACCCAAATACATGGAGTAAATGTGTTACTGTTGACTAATATTCGGAATATGGGGGCATGAGCAAGTTTAGGGTACAAATCAAAATGTGCATTTATTAAATTTTGTATTAGACATCAAACTTGAGAGTTTAAATTGGAAGTTTATTATATGATCCTGAAATTAAGAGGTGAGTTTGGGATTTGAGCTGTACATTTGGGGAATATATCATTGTAAATATAGACTCCTGTAAGAATAGTCATAATCAAAGAATCAAAAAACAGTAGATGTTGGCATGGATGTGGCAGTCAGGGAACACTTCTACACTGCTGGTGGGAATGTAAGCTAGTATAGCAACTATGGAAAACAGTGTGGAGATTTCTTAAAGAACTAAAAGTAGAACTATCATTTGATGCAGCAGCAACCCCACTACTGGATATCTACCCAGAGGAAAAGAAGTCATTATTCAAAAAAGATACTTGAACATGCATGTTTATAGCAGCACAATTCACAATAGCAAAATCATGGAACCAACTCAAATGCCTGTCAAAGAATGAGTGGATAAAGAAACTCTGATATGTGTGTGTGTGTGTGTGTGTGTGTGTGTGTGTGTGTGTGTATATGAGATGGAATACTACTCAGCCATAAAAAAGAACGAATTAACAGCATTTGCAATGACTTGGATGAGATTAGAGACTATTATTCTAAGTGAAGTAATTCAGGAATGGAAAACTAAACATTGTATGTTCTCACTGATATGTGGGAGCTAAGCTATGAGGACACAAAGGCATAATAATAATACAGTGGACTTTGGGGACTTGCGAAGAAGGGTTGGTGGGGATAAAAGACAACAAATATGGTGCAGTGTGTACTGCTTTGGTGATGAGTGCACCAGGTTCTCACGAATCTCCCCTAAAGAAACTTACTTATGTAACCAAATACCACCTGTACCCCAATAACTTAGGGAAAAGTAAAATTAAAAGAAAGAAAATAATAATAAAATAAATAAAAATAAAGGAATGGAGGGGAAGACGTGCAGAGAGAGAAGAGTTCCAAGACTAGGTCATTTAGCATTCCAAAAGTTTGAGTCCAAGGAGAGCAGCGGATGCAGGAAAAGAGAAATATTAGTAGCCTGGGAGACAGGAGGAAAACCAGGAGTACATGGTATTCTGGAAGCCATGTGAGAAAAGTAATTCTAGAAGGAGAAGTGAGAAACCCTGTTGAATTGTATGTATGCAAATGGAGATTTGATTGCTGGGCTTGAAAATGTTGAGGACAAAGATGACTTTAAAGAAAGTGCTCTTAGTGGACTACAAGTGACAAAATACTGATTGTAGAGAACCCGAAGATTTAATAGAATATGAGGAATTCTATGAGTTTTGTCATAAGAAAGTGGTAAGGAAGGGGATATTAGGTTAAGGGAAGGATTTCCTTTTACAGCTGGGCATTGGTATATATATGTAATTTTCTGAATATTCAGTCCTAAGAGAATTATCAGTAAAATGATTTAAAATTGATACACCTTTTTCTTTCAACTTATATAATTCCTGAGTTTGGATAGAAAACGTTCAAATAGAAAGGAAATCTGTTTTTTTTTCTTTTTCTTTTTCTTTTATAAATTGGATCAAGTGACACCAGGCCAAACACACTGAAATTAACCTGAGAGACAAGTTTAGAGTTTAGATTTCATTTAGTTTCCCAGATTGCCATTCAAATTTCATAGAAATTTTTTATCTGAACTTAAGAGCAGATTACATTTTACATAGTATTGCTATAACATTACAAATGTCATAAATATTTAGTCATTTGGTAATGTACTAATTCCAGGAACACACAATATTTCTATTCTGTTAGTGGTATTAAAATGCATAAAATTCTTGTTATAATAGACAAATTTAAATCCATTGTAAATTTCCTCTGAGTGCATTCTGTTATGAATTTGATTTGCTTCAAACATCACTTTGGAAACATTTTTTTAAAAAGTTTTTAATGTGTAGAGGGACAAAAAGGATATATGTGTTGAGGATACCTAATCCAGAAATCTAAAATCCAAATGCCCCAACATTTGACACTTTTCAACACTGACATCATAACACAAATAGAAAATTCCACACCTGACCTCATGTGGTGGATGCACAAAATTATAGAAAAAAGTTGTATGAAATTATCTTACCTTCTGGCTATGTGTGTAAGGTATATATGAAGCATAAATGAACTTAATGTTTACATTTAGTACTATCCCCAAGATATCTCATTGTTTATACGCAACTATTCCAAAATCTGAAAAAATTCTGAAAACCAAAACACTTCAAGTCCCAAGCATTTCAGGTAAAGGATACTCAACGTGTAGTAATTACAGGGCAAAGTTTATCATTGCAGCATAGAAATTAAATAGATACAATAAATTCATTTGGCATATCATATTCATATGATTTCTGTGACACATTTAAATATTTCCTTTTATGGATCTTTTACTTATTTGTGCTAAAC
Source organism: Homo sapiens (assembly GCF_000001405.40). NCBI lineage: Eukaryota > Metazoa > Chordata > Mammalia > Primates > Hominidae > Homo > Homo sapiens. The sequence goes on from NC_000004.12 coordinate 92,314,994, forward strand.
AATGGATGATAGATTTTCAGTCATAGGTGGACATGAGGAAAGGAAATGTTCTAAATTTAGTAACCTCAGAATTCAGCCTTTTGAATATGAATCTTAGTTCTTTCATTAGTATTAATATAACCATAAGTTGTGTATTTTGATTTTGCACCTAAAATAATAATATCTGTACTAAAATAAGCATGCTAATAGCAGGTGAATTATATTTTTTGTGTTCTTTGTTGTTGTAAGTGTTATGTCCTCTATAAAAACATTTCATCATATGGAAACAATGTGATATGGATGTCAGATGGTTGTTTCTGCTCTGATACATCTGTTAATTGATATGTAAATATGGAATATTTGAACAATGAGAGGGTAGGAGTCTTATAGTTTGAGAATAGCAATGACTCACAAAAAAAGCAAATTGTGTTCTGGCTGGAGCCTAGGAACTTAATTGATGAAATACAGAACATTGAAAGATATTTTCTATTTACTAGTTCATAGCTTCTTGGGGTGGTGAAATATCATTTGAAGGAAATGCTGCGTGGACTTAAATCCAAACTTAAGTTGGAATGAACCCCTAAAACTGGTGAAGTGTTTACTATATATAACTTCAACATCATTAAAATGTCATGTCATTGATTGACTTAGTATCTTAAAATCCAAAGACCAGGTAATACCTTAGTAGCTTTGGTGAGACAAGAGAACTTAGTCCTGGCCATGCACGGTGGCTCACGCCTGTAATCCCAACACTTCGGGAGGCTGAGGCGGGTGGATCACCTGAGGTCAGGAGTTCAAGATCAGCCTGACCAACATGGTGAAACCCCGTCTCTACTAAAAATACAAAAATTAACTGGGCATGGTGGTGTGCGCCTGTAATCCCAGCTACTCAGGGGCTGAGGCAGGAGAATTGCTTGAACCCAGGAAGTGGAGGTTGCAGTGAGCTGAGATCGCACCATTGCACTCCAGCCTGGGCAACAAGAGTGAAACTCCAACTCAAAAAAAAACAAAAACAAAAAGCAAAAAAAAAAAAAAAAAAAAAGAAAAGAGAACCCGTTCTGTTGTTCTGTTGTATGACATTTAAAGCGAATTAAAATCCAGAAGACTGATTCCTGCTTCTAATAATCTCTGCAATCTGACAACCAACAAAATTGGGTTAGTGGTTTAGTGGCAGTTGCTGTCTTGCTACTCAGAATCCAGATATTCTTTGCTGCTTCTGTGAATGGAAATAACAGAAACCATTGAATTTTCTTTTTAGATATACCAACAACTCTCAGCATAGCCCAGTAGAAGCATGGCCTATATAAGAACCATTATACATTTCTTCTTAAATGGTTTTTCAATTTTTAACACCTTATTAATGTGGGTGATGCTTCATCCACAGATGTAAGAGGGACTGCTCTTCTGTTCTCTTGTGGTGTAGTCATGGTGAGTTTTGGACATTTTCTATAATCCATTAATTTCAAGCTGAGAAATTATGACTCAAATCTCATATTCCATTTGCAGAACATATCAATTTAGGGTTACATGAAACCATAACGTGACATTTTTGGGTGTGTCACCAGATTTTTTTTACACCTATTGTGTGGTTATAAGAATACAGATCATTGAAACAAGACACGTTTCATATCCTTAGAACTTTCAGGAGTATCTGCCTTCTAAGAAAATATTATAACATTAGGAAGCTGAAGGTAGAACAATTCAGAACTCCCAGCTGAACGACTGTGGTCTACTATGGCACTGGAGATTGTGATAATTCAATAAATGCCATTTTTATAGTAGCCTAAAGGTGCCATAAAAACATATATTTCAGAAAAAGACATAGAAATGGGATCAGGAGGTTATCACATACAAATGGTCTTTATAGTAGAAATCTCATTTCTCAGCTTTCTGATGGTTCACCATATTGTAGCTATAGGCTACAAAGTAAATACAATCATGCCAATTTCAGATCTAAGGAAGAATTTTTTATTATTTTAATTCTTTTATTTTTTAAAAATAGATGTCAGTAATTCTCATGCAAGCTTAAGTAATGAAGGAGGAGGCGTTAAGATGTGGTTATTTGGTAATTAATTAAGCTAATGAGATCTTTTCTAAATTTAATACTGTATATCAGATATTGCATTAAGCATGATTTCTTGGGTATAGAAAAATAAAATTGCCTTTTTTACTCTCACTTCTGAAGTTAATAGTACACTGTTCTTTCATATTACTAATCTATCCTCACTGCTGTATGTATAAAACATCAGTGAAAATGACAGTTTTATGACATTTGACATTTATGACATTTGACATTTATGACTTTTGACCATGACAGAATAATCTACCTCATGGCAGAAGTAAAATAAAGTTTCTTTACAAGTGGCATAACTATTATTAGGAAAACATATTTATATAGACTTTTAATTATATAGGTGTAATTGAAAACAGGGAAAACATTGAAAACTGAACATAACAGATTGTTCGCAAACTAACTGTCCAGTGCTTCTATTTTTCTCCACAAGAGTTCATGCTGTGGTTAATAAACAGTTAATAAATAGCAAAACTGGCTGCTTTGATTTTTTCTTTTTATTTTTCCTGTCTACCCTTCAGTGGCAATACTAATGAGCAGTGAAATGGCCAAAAGCAAGAAAAAAGGAGCAAAGGGTTTTAGATAATCTATAAACCAGAAAATCAGTCCCTGACTGCTCGTATGCACAGGCTTGCTGAGAAGAAATAGTTTTATTTTCTCAAAATATCACCCAGATTCTGAAGATAGAACTTGCTCTTGGCTGCTGAGTTAGTGAGACAAGTGAAGCTTTTGGGCCACCAAAGAAGAATAAGCTGAATGACACTGACTGGGAGCAAAGTGAAGAATATTATCACTGAAAAAAACTGCCCTCCAGGGGTAATGCTGCTGACAACCAGGGCCCCAGTGATTGGCTCAGTTGCTTGCATCATATTTATGGTGATTTTTAAAAATAAAATGCAATATAAATTGCAGCTATACTACTTAAAAACTTTAGATAATTATGTATAAACTGGGTTGTATTGATATTCCTGTCAATACACATTGAGTCTTGAGCATCTACATTGTATATACCCTGTTGACCTCCTGTTGATGGTATATTATAGACCATGAAGAGGAATTTGAATATTGCACTCTTAAAAAGGAACTGTGAAGCACATGACAATGATAAATGCAAAAATCTGACTAGCAATTAATAGAGGGAAAAGGGAAGGTGATGTGATGGAGAGGTACATAGTTTCAACATTATTGATGGTGTTTTATTTATTAAGTTGGGTGGTTGTTTCACAAGTGTTGGATATATATGTGTGTATATATATATATATATATTTTTTTTTTTTTTTTTGGTAAGCAATATTATATCTGTTGTTACTCTGCTCACAGAGAAATCGACTGGTTCAGTTCACTTCCACTTTAGTTAGGGAATAAGTTGTTTTCTTTTAGGCCCCTCCATCAGGTAGGTTGGCTAAGTTTACAACCCTCTTTGGAGGGAAAGAGAGTGCATACTATATGCCTATATGCCAGGACTTTTTTTTTTTTTTTTTTTTTTTTTGAGACAGAGTCTCACTCTGTCACCCAGGCTGGAGTGCAGTGGCACGCTCATGGCTTACTGCAGTCTTGATCTCCTGAGCTCAGGCGATGCTCCCACCTCAGCCTCCCTAATGTTTGTATTTTTTGCAGAGGGAATTTTCTCATGTTGCCCAAGCTGGTCTCAAACTCCTGAGCTCAAATGATCTGCCCACCTCAGCCTCCCAAAGTGCTGGGATTACAAGCGTGAGCACCATGCCCAGCCAGCAGGACTATTAAATAGCAAGTCAGAGAAGAATTCAGGAGTCTGTCTTCAAGCACAGTGATCCCTGTGGTGGATTCAACAATCCAGTTGCCTTTCGCTACCATTTAGAACAGCATCTTTGAATCTTTGTTTCTTATTTGGTGTAGGCAGGGAGCTCCCTTAAATGTTCAAATCAAAGAGAAGAGAGGAAGGAATGTACAGAGGGAACAACTGGTTTGATGCTATGAGAGGTGGTTTGGCATATTTCGTGTTTTGAATATTTCATAATGCGTATTTTAAATGAGAATGTATAATATTTTTGTTAGTGATATTACACTACAATTATTACCTTCTATCTCACTCTTGGATAAGAAAATATGAACAATTATTTTATAATGTATCCTTAGAGATACTTACTCCTAAGAAGTGAATTTTTCCTTTATCTTATATGCATGTTATTCTTGGTTTGATTAATCAAGAATAATTGATAATGAGTCTAATCTACCTAAATGATTTCTTGATATTTTAATATTATGTGTCATTCACTCCCAATTCAAAGTAAGATGTACTGTAATGATGAAAGAAAAAATACCTTCTTGCAGCCAATTGAGCTTCATGATGTGGCCCTTGATTGAATTTCCAATGGAATAGTTCATTTTAATCTGTACAAATTGGAAGCAATGAGAGGAAGAAAAGTTTCCATGAAACATCCTTAGAGGCAGCAAAGAGGTTCTTTTAGAATGTCAGGTCATTCAGGCCTTTGGCCTGAGGATTAGCAGGGGAGATGCCTAGGGAAGCTAATAGGTTCTCAACGCTGCCAGAATCTGCCTCTTGGAAAATAGTTATCTTTAATTTTTGGTGCCATTTAACAAAATGTTGTATCTTTTGTGCTTCCTGTCTGGACAAAGCAGAGAAGAAATAATACTGTCATATAAGAAGGGGACCTATGTTTGGGAAGTCAGAGACAATATTTTACATCCCTGAATTTCAAGGACTAATTCAGTGTCTGGCAGAATACATACAGTTATGAAATTTTACATTGTTTGTCACATGTCCATATTTGCTTTCAAATCTTAGTTTTTCAGTTTTAATCAGGAATAATAACAATAGCTCCCACCTTGGCTGGGTCATTTTTAGGATAAAAAGTCATTATGTCTGTAAATATGCTTATTGAACTCTCAAATATGCTGTAAATATAAGAGAAGAAATATTGGAATACTGCATTTGTGGTGGAAGGTGTTGCTTAGGAGAGAGGTGAGAGAGGTTGCAGCCAGTGTACTGATCATTCTTTTGAAGTGGGAGTAAGTACAGAAAATTCAATACAGGAAACCAAGAAAGAGAAACCATTTCGGGAGAGAAATGGAGTTCAGTTTTGAACTCAAAATGATTTTGGCATAACTGTGAAGTGTATATCTCAGACAGTGGTTTCACAATGATCCCCTTTCCTGCCTCAGATGGAGAAAATAAAGATTATTTTTCATAGTGGTCAATTCTATTTTGACCTAAAAAAGGAAACAGTGTTTTTCTAGTCATCTTTTTCTAGCTTTTCCTCAAATTCAACGTTAATAGTGTCATTTCCTATTTAAAATGTGAACCATTTAAAGTATATTCAGGGTACTTATGTTCAGAAAATACTAATTCTACACCAGGAGGCTTATGATCTTTAGTTCCTGTGTCTACTTATGTCTCAGTTTAGAATTAATTTCGAATAATATTACCTACTTTTTTTTCTCTTTTTTTTGAGACAGAGTCTCACTCTGTTGCCCAGACTGGAGTGTAGTGTCGTGATCTCTGCTAACTGCAACCTCTGCCTCCCAGGTTCCAGTGATTCTCTTGCCTCAGCCTCCCAAGTAACAGGGATTACAGGCACACGCCACCAACATGCCTAGCTAATTTTTGTATTATTAGTAGAAAGAGAGTTTCACCATGTTGGCCAGGCTGGTTTTGAACTCCTGACCTCAAGCGATCCACCTGCCTCGGCCTCCCAAAGTGCTGGGATTACAGGCATGAGCCACCACCCCCAGCTGATATTACCTACTTTTGAAAATATTTCTTTTTTCTTAGTATTTCTGTTTTTTACTATAAGTGTACATTTTAAAATCAAAGTCTGGTCCTAATTTAAGAGAATGGCACCATTAATTTATTTGCTGTTGATTTCCAGTCAAAAGAGTTTTAAAACAGAATGATCTTTGATGGAATCTTAGGTTGTCAAATATAAAATAAAAAGATAATTTTTATTTCTTGTTCATAATTTCTTTTATAGTTTCATATTGAATGTATAATTCTCTTACATAAATTAATAGAATTACATAGAAGGATCGAAATATGTTTTATAGAATTTTGTGTTCTTTAGTTACATTTTCTCTGAAAACATAATTAGCTAGAGGAAAGGAAACTTGTGCTCCAAGGATGGCAGAAGTAAAGCCTGAAGTGGGACAGAGATCCCATTTAGAACCAAACTAAAGGAATCTTGTTGGGACTTCGGGCCTCTTTTTTCCACCTCCCCTAGAAGACTCCACCTTCATTGTTAAGGACCTGTGTTTTCTGATAAGAAAAGACATTTGCAAATACTGATCTGCAGATGGAAGAACGTGAAAGCAGAGGCAGTGTGCTTGTGTGTGCGCAAAAACACTGTTCAAACTGAGAAGTGGGATAGAGTGGATCCACGTAAGCCAAGTGTTCTTTCTGTCTCTTTGCATCTTTGTTTAGAGTCTAGCTTTTCAGCATGTTTTTTCTAATATGTAAAGTCAGTGATAACTTCAATAAAAACAATTTAGGTATGAAATTATTGGAACTTAATTTGACCATCTCATTCTTTTTTGCTCTTAATAAGTCGGTCCATTGTAAAAGAGCCAAGAGTGGAAAATTGAGTGCTCCAATGGGAAGGAAGGGTCTCAGCATCTTTTTCTTGCTCCCAGGCAGTCTAATGAATATCAAGGTAGATTAAATATAAGAAATTTAGAATCAATGGAGCATAACTTGAATGAGTTGACCCAGTCAAAAATTGTGATGATTGGTCATTTTTATAAACAGTCAGAGTAGGATAGAGTAGGAAAATATAAGCGTTGTATTTGATGTCAGGCTTATATGTTCAAATCTTGCCTTGGTCTTTTTCTACTTCCTGGCTGTGAAGTCCTTGGATGAGTGATGGAATTTTCAAAGTCTCAAATTTACCTGCTCCACCTCATCTGTTATATGGATACATTGCAATAAAATTTAAAATATGGACTTATGGACTATTGCAAATAAGGTTCATATTTCAGGAAATTGAACTTGCAACTTACATGTACTGCTAATCAGGGTCCTAGATTAGGCATTAGAAAGTGACATGAGAAACATGAGATCAAATAGGGTTCCCTGTTTATCCCTGTTCCTGAAAGATTTAGATTTATAACTATGGCTTTTCTACAACATATAAATCAAAGTTGAAAGCCTTTCTGGTAAGTATGTGGATTTAAGGTTAACTGTTCTTTCAAAGATGATATCTCATTATAAATTTACATGAAGTAGATGGCTAAAATGTTTGCTAGGGCTGATTCTGATGTTTAGCTCTGTCTTGGTGGCGACACTCTTTTCTTAGCTTTGGTCTAATATAGGATGATCTCCTAAATGTATTGTCCAGTTTATTGTCCAAACCAGGACTCCTTTCGGAATAAAAAGGATAATATACTATTAAGATAGCTCTTGGCAAAGGAAAAATGCTTGAGGTGATAGATATCCCATTTACCCTGATGTGATTACTACACATTGCATGTGTGTATCAAAGTATCTCATGTAACCTATACATATGTATACCTACTATATACCCACAAAAATTAAAAAGTGTTGCTGTTGGGGTGAAAAAGACACATTTGGACTGATTGGAGGCAAACTGGGGCAAATAAGCACCCTAGTATTAGAATACTGCCTATGGGCCTGTGATCAGCTTGAAGTTTGGCTCAGCCTCAATGTTCCCCTAGGTATATTCTCTTTCAATCGCCAATAATTCTGTCTTAGCAGCAGGTTATTCTTTCCTTTTATGCTGATTAAAGAAACAAATTATATTTTGTTTTGGCTATGTTTTATTTTTAATTACTTAGAGGACTTTTACTTTTTCCTTCACAGGCAGCAGAAAAAAGGACAAATAGCTAAGTATAAGTTGTCTTCCTTCATATAAACATATTTAACTGATTTTTAAAAATCAGAATCTAGTGCCTGTAATTGCTCCCTTTATTATTATTTTTTTGTCCTTTCTCCCTATCTGCTAATTGAGTGCAACTTCTAGCAGAACTGATTGGACATTGGCAATTGCATGAATTCATACCCAACCTCAAATGCTTTTACAAGTATTCTCACATGGAGTGTACTGTTTTTTAAAAATGTAAAGATAGTTTACCAAAAAGATTAAAATTTGCTTTACCTTGAGTCCCAAGAGGAGAAATCATCAAGTAACCAACAGTTTTGATCATTTTTATTTTTTACAGAACTCTATTATAAAGTAACAATGACTTCAAATAAGATGTTAGCCTTAACGGTTAAGGTTTCATAAGTGTATATACATTTTTAAAAGGCTATTTGTTATAGATAATAACTATAAGATATTGTCTTGCATTTTTGAATTAATTCTTCTCTAGATACCATGTTATCTAATTTATTCAACCTCTACAAACTTTTGTCTCAGGTGTGCCCTTTCTGTTTCATGTAGAAGTCATTAGATTCTCCTAAAAGTTTTTTTTCCTATCTCTGTTCCAAAGTCCAGTTTTACCTGAAGAAATGATTGTGTGGTAGCCTGCATTGGTCTCTTCCCCTCATTCTCTTGCTCTTTCATTGCTGGCCTACTTTATGTAAACCTTACTCCTTGTTTTACTTCTGGCATCCCAGGTTTTTTGTGGTCTTATCACTTTCTATGTTTTCCACATGAAACTGGCTTTGAGAGCATCATTCTCACACTGTGCTCTGAAGCTTGCCACCTTCCTCCTTTCTTCTTCTCTGGTGATTTTGGCCTGATCCTTAAGTCACTTTCCTTTAGAAATTACATGATCATAGGCTCATTCATGGAAAGACTGTTAGAGATTGTCCAGAGCCTAGGACCCTCTTTTGCTCATGAGCACATTGAGAGGTTAAGTGGCTCAAATGCTTCACAGGTAGGAATTTTTTGAATACTCTATGAATTTTTACTAAAAATAGGAATTATATTCATATCATCAAAGTAATATTAATGTGGCCTATTAATGTGGGCTATCTAGGAGATAGAAATAGCCCGATTATGTAGAATTTGTTAATTGTTTTCATTACATGGGATCCATTTTTACCTGTGCTCTACTATATTGTATTAGAGTACAATAATTAATTCCTTTGAAGCCTATTGAATATAATGTAAGAGGTAACTAACCCAGTGTTTGGAGAACTATTCCTACAACCTGCTAGGTGCAGTGAATATATCATCCTCTAGGTTTCTCACAGAATTTAGAACCCAGCAGAGTTTACTCCAGTTCCAAATCCTATTTCTTTTCATGCAGATCCAAACCCTTTTCCACAGCTTGCACTCTCCACTCTTCTTTCCTACTGTCTCTCCTGCCCATCCTTTCTCTCTGTCCCCAGGCTCAGATTGGAACTCTTTTCTTCCCAGATTAACTAAAATTAATTCAGTGTCTATCAGAAACATGTCACTATGTATACATGTATTTGCTTGGGAATATTTTAAATTGGTGCTAAATGATAATTTTGTGTTGTAATCCTCTTATTTGCAAAGGCTACATAAAATATTCTTGATTATATTCTTGCATAGCCTATAACATGTTCTTAGGTTTCCTATGCTATGTTTATCCTCAATAATAAACTTTTATATACACATACATACATACAGACACACACACACACACACACACACACTGACTTTGCACAGCATCTTCTGTATCACTGTAGGAAGCCTTAAAGTAATACTAAATTAACAAAAAGATGTGTATATTGCAAATGCAAATAACATCTCTATGATTTATTCAAATTATAGTGAAAATCTATATATGCTGATATGGATATGCATTTGTCACCAGGACTGGTTTGTTGAAGGTTTTAATAGTCAAACATAGTTTGTAATTATGTTAAAAAGACATGAGATAATTTTTCATAGTTTTCACATATCATTTATTGAACAAATACCATTGTAATAATATTAGTGGAAATCAGAGTTCAAAATTATCACACTATGTAAGAAAAATCTCTTCCAAAAATCCAACTATACAAAAAATAAATCAGCTTTGCTTTTACATATTTCCTTCTGATTTCAGTCTTTGTGCATGCACAACTGAGCATGCTGTAATATATATACAGTATATGATTATATGTTATATTTAGGCACCCATCTCTATCATTATTTCAGTAGATGTTACTAATCTTGGAGCTTTAATTGTTAATTCATTGAACTAAAAGTCATGGAGCTTGTCACATGTGTCTCAGCTCAAATGCCATTTTACCCAAATTTTAGCACTTATGGACAATTAATTTTAACCTTCTTTACCGTAGTGTTTTTATATGTAAAATGTAGATATGACCACCTAGCTTGAAGGGTCAAATGAAAAATACATTAAGTAAATGAAACAGATTTTGAAAGAATGAAAGTGACTGGCCCACAATGAATTTTCAGTCAGTATTAGCTTTCCTTCCCCTTTCTTCTGTGCCTTCCCTCAAAACTTCATAAATATAATAAATGTAATAGACTTTATTTAAATAATTGTACATTTTACTTCAGTCTGTTTTGTGCACATTTGCCAAATATCTTGAGGCTAGAGTTAATTGATTTTTGTAATTATGTCAAGTGAAGAAAACTGCCTATGAATATATGAGTTATTTATATTCCCATTTTCAAACTCAAACAAAGAGATTTGCTATTAGTTTAACATGACAGAAAACACCTAGTACAAATTTTTGTTATTTTTTTTATTCTTTCTCCTTTTGGCTTCAGAACTTTCATAAAATAGGAATCTTTCCAGTTACTGATAAACCCATAATCTTTTTACTGCTTGGACTCATTTTAAGATATAACTCTTCTTTCATGACCATTTAACTTTATACTTTTATATCTTTAAAGTCATAATCTCTTCAATCTATATTGTTTTCTGATTTTTAATGTTCATGTTTCAGCAATCAATTCTTAATTTCTTAATTTCTTTTAACTTTATTTAAACAATTATCCACATTCCCGGGTCTACTCTTTTTCTAAAACTTCTAATATATACTGTACTGAAAAGTTTGTTTTCTCCCATGTTTATGTAAGATAATTCTACACATGAAAAGTATGCTTACATGAAAAAAAATAGAGGGAGATAGAAGTTACAGGGATTTAGGTAAGCATTTAATTCTCCTGGCAGTTTTACATACTGGAACTGATTTACCAACTGTTCTTTTATAAAATTAAACTAGACTTGTCTTTCAGAATTGAGCTATCACTGCAATTTTAATCAACAAAACTAGTTCCTAGATTTATAACTGATTAAAGGTCAGTAACTTATTGAGACATTTGGAGGCAAATCAGAACAATGAGCATAAGTACACTGAACATAAGTCCACAATACTAATTTAAAGGCATTTTAATGAAAAATGACTTTTATTGTATTGTAGATTTAGAATTATTATTACTAAAATACAGCTAAAGTATTTCTATGGTGTATAAAGGATTACTGAACTAGTTTGCCCACCTTTGGTGCCACTATCATGAATGTAATAAATAAATACAGTCTCCTTAACCCTACTTTATCTGTTAGTAAAAATACCCAGTGGGATTCTATAGAAGTATAGAATATATAGAAAGGATAAAGTGAAAATGACTACATCCATAATCTGTAATGAAAATGATTTATTACTTGTTATTCATGGTCACCTATAAAAACCAAATAATCAGAGTAACATTTATTAAGTACTCACAATATGCCAATCATTGTTGCAAGCACTTTCTAGGCATTATCTCATTAACGTGTAGCAATAATCTTAATAATGCTGGTGTTATACCCATTTTGCAGAGGAGATAAAGGAAGTTAAACAATGCTATATAATTTGCATAACTTCTCTGAGGCACAGAAGATAAATAATACTGTCCGATATCTGTGCTTATTTGTCCCCTTATTAACTGTGTCAAGAACAGTTTTCACTGGGTTTGTATCCTTTCCATGCATCCTCTGCACTTCTTTTTTCCTCAGGTAGTCCCCTTGCCAACAAGAAGCCACATTCTTTCCTAGAGCCCTCTCTGATTTTCTGATCACTGTGATCCAGGTTACTCCACACATTTCTACTACATTGCCACATTGTAGTGTTTGGCACCTCTTTGCTGCCAGCCGTAAAAAATTTAAAAAAGGCAAAATATTTCTTCTACTGAGTGGTCATTAAAATATCCTAGTTTTTGTTTCTTTTTTGGTGCTTTACAAATAGCTATAATTTTAAGGTAGCTTTTGCTGCATCACACAATGTCAGTGATTACTCTGAAATCACTAATAGGCTCAGTGTCTACCCCTTTAAGTATCTGTTCACTTCTCTCCAGTTTGTCAGTATCAAGTAGTTGAAGCTAGCATGCACTTTATTTCACATTATTCCTAGATAATTAAATATCAGTTTTTAACAACATTCCTGCCTGTAATCCTAGATTTTGTGTGTGTGTGTGTGTGTGCCTTCTCAATCTCTAGTCCCAAGTTAAACAATTTCACTCAGATCCCCATTTTAGAGTGTACCACATGGTAGGGAGTAACTACACATATGTCACATGTATTCTATGTTTTATCTTTCTTTCTAACTGAGAGATAAGAGTGCTTAGTTAGCCATGATTCCTTGGCCTAGTGTTATGGAAATTTGCCAGATCTTTATAGTAAACTAGCCCAGTCCTACATAAAACATTTAACCAATATTCTTCCCTTATTATGAAAAAAAGATTAAATTTAATTATTTCACAGAAATATTTCAACTGTTATAGTTTCACATTTTTAAAAAATAAAATTTTTAGAACATATGTTTCAATGTGTTTCTTCCTGAAATTTTGTTGTCCTCTAATCCGCAAGACATTTCAACATTGTTTCTGAACACGTATTCTTTGGCTGTTCCCCTCACGTAGAGAATAGAAAGAAACTAAAAAAGAAATTAACAATGATTAAAATAATACATGAAATAGGAAGTTAAGACTATAGTGCATTATTTACAGTAAGTCATTTTTATTTGGTAAGATGATGCGCTGTGTTAAGGTCATCAGGAAAGGAAAAAAAGGAAAACATAAAAGATTATTTTTACCATTATATTTTCAGTTTGCTTCTAATATATGTTAATGTATAAAGTGATAAATGCTCATTCATTTGAAAAGGGGCTATATAAGATAGAGACAGGGAGAAATGTCAAATGTCAAATAATAGCAAAAACAAATAATACACACATTCAAGAGGGAGAATGACCTTTAGAATGTCTAACAGCTGCATGTGGTCTAGGTCTCTGCTGGAACAGGATAAGGACTGCATCTTATGCCATGTTAAATGTTCTTCTCTGCAGGAGTACCAGAGCAGGGGAAAGGTGCAAGAGAGTGACAGGTCATTTCAGCTAATGTCAGCCAGATATGTGGACTTTATCACTAAAGATACCAGAGATTTATGGAATGGAACACTTTGAAGTTCAGCCAGAGTGGTTGAAAATAAACATTCAGAAGTAATCACAGCATAACGGACTTGCGTTCATTAGGAAAATGATGACAACTTGTTTCTGTTATATGTGGTTATACTCCTACCATATTTGCATTAACCTCTGCTAGCTTCTCAAGTAATCATGCCAAGGACACTGGTATCTCTTTCACTAGAGACGATAGATTGGATTCTAAATTTACTATAGCATTAAACTTGTATTTTTCCCTGGATTGTTCTTGAATTTTCTTGTTTTGAAAGGTAATTTTATGCCCGTGATCACAAACAGCATAATAAAATGTAACCTGAGAAAAACCTTTGTTAGCTTAAGGAACTAAAAACAACATTATTTTGTTTTTGTTTCTGTTGGGTGTTCGGAATAAATTTAAAAAGCAGAAGTACCTGTAAGAAATGAATCTTTTAGGAGTGTGCTTTTCTAACTGCTACAGCTAAGGATTAGTTAATACCTACTGGGAAGTGTTTTCTCAATATTAATTTCTGTTTTCATGTTTCCTCTTTATGTCCTTGTAAATTATTTGTTCATTTTTATTTTTAGCAGAAAAGAGAAGATTGGACTTGAAGCTGGAATAAATTATTATTTCACATTATTTTTAAATAATTTACTCTCTGGATGTCCCTAGTCTCCTGGGTAGAGTTTGCTCTGTGTGCACGTGTATATATATGTGTGTGCACACGTGCATGCTAATTTTACTTCATAATAGTCATTTTTTCCATGTCTAGCTTTCACTATTCAAGATTATTAACCCTAAATTGTTAATATTCCAAGAATAATAATTCCAAATGGTTAAGCATCACAAGTGGAATAGTACCAAAATTCTTAAACTTTTTTTTTCTGAGGTTCTGATCCTCTAGGAAGCTGATAGTACAGAACTGTGCTTGCTGGCTTCTTTTTAAGCCCTCTCTATTTAAACTTTGGAGTTTATTATAAAAGGAAAGAAAACCAAAGATGACATCTACATACTTTATTTCCCTATTTTAGCTTCCCCAGAGTCATGCTGAATTGCATGAACTCAATTCAATCATATTGATGTTTCTCCCTGCTTGCTCACTTTTAATACTCATTTACTTAGTGTCTGTCCTGTTGGTCATTTGTAAGATAAAATTGGCAGAAAATTTTATGTAATTATTATTTCATTGCATTTAAATCTCATCCTGTCTACTTTATAGAGTTGTTAGGAGGCCCAAATGAAAAATTGCAAAGCACAATGATATATATTGATTATTTTGATATTTAGCACATTTTGTAGAATATCTACATATGCCCTGGGTAAACAATGATAAACAAAATAGAAAAAACACTCAAAAATCTTGTCTTCCTGCAGCTTACCTCTAAAATGGAAGACAGGCAATAAAGGAATGATGACATATGGAGGTCTATGAAGAAAAAACAGGAGCAAAATGGGGTAGAGAGTGATAGAGGATATGAATTTAGATTAGGGGGCCAATGACATTGTGTCTGAGGAAATGACATACAACAGAGACTAAAACTAAGTGATTATTCAGGAATAGATTATTCTAGTGGGAAGAAAGAGTAAGGGAAAGGAGAGAAGAGAGAGAGGGAAGAGAAAGGAGAAAAAGGAAGAGGAGTATGGGAGGAAAGAGAGAGAGAGAGAGAGAGAGAGAGAGAGAGAAACATGCTAGACATTTTGAAGAACCAGCAAGAATGTTAGTGTAGCCAACAGTGAGGCAGGCAAAGGTGAGTAAGGTAGATTAGTTCAGGGAAGAAAACATAACATTATTTAATCCATTGTGGGCCACATTGCACTATGATAACACTATCATGTCATAGAGTCTCACCATTGTTTAAGATGTTTAAATTTTTTAATACGAATATATTCTCACACCCTCCGTTTTTTAGTCAAAAACCTCTCCCTGAATATCCTGACAACATGACAGAGGATCTGCTGTTCCTCTTCAGAGTTAGTTTCCTTGCTTGGAAGGCTCCTTGACAGCAGTAACCAGAATCTTGCAGTGGTTTGGATGGCTGGTTTTAGTAGTAGTGACCTCTGTACAAGCGTGTCTCACTTTCAATGGAATGTCCACAAGGCACAGATTACAGATTACCTCTACATGTTAATTGGATCTATCATACTACTTGGGCAATATTTATAAATAGAGTTGGTAAGATTTCAAGAATTCCTCCCCTCAAGAAAGAAGAATGCTTAGATAAATTTTTATTCATAGAGACAATAATTGGAAACGTCTTATTCATTATTCCAAAAAGAATCTTCTTGTGGTTTCTATAAACAAAGTAGCTAATATAATATAAACTTAAGTTTAAACTTGACTTTATATTATTTCTTTTGTGAAAAACCATTTTATATATATACATGTCATTATAAAATATATATATAATCATATAGCCTGTGAATTACAGTGGAAATTCTAAGTTCTTGAAACAAATTTCTAGCTAGTAACTAAAGAGAAATTAGAATGTGAAAAAGTTCTGAATTTTTTTCAAACTCATCTTCTCAAATGTATATGAAAATGATCTCAAATTAGGATATTTACATTTCTAGGAAAATGTGGTGTCCTTTAAAAGTATGCACTGGAATTTCACTTATCAAAATTCATTTAAAAACTCTTTATTGAGCAATTACTACTCTGTTCAAGGCCATGTGTTATTCACTGTGGAGGTACTATATTAAATAAAATTGTAGAGTTTGTCCTACTTGTAGTTCATAGGAGATTGAGATGTATAAAGAATTGTTGCAAAACACAGATCATGCAGTTTGAATCATTATTGCCAAATAATGTGTCAGACTGACCTTGATTTACTTTTTGAATAAAGTTTTAAATGGTTAAAATATATTTTAATTTCTATTAAAGTTAGCACAAACTCTATATATTATTTTTAAGTAGAAAGGCAAGAGAAACTATGTGCTAACCACAAAAAGTGCCAGTGGATAAGCAGTCTGAAATTTAGACATTAGAGGTGAAATTCAGGTTACGGCACTTAGCCCGATCTGTCTTACTTTAGTTAGCTGAGCATTGATCTGTCTTCTAGTATTTGTGTTACCCCAGAAGGAAAAGAATTTGCCTTACATATTTTGCTGCTCCCATGAGGAATGGCGCTTTGCTTTTCTTTTATTGAGGGTAAGCAAATACTTGTGAAATAATAGAAAGATAGGAAAGGAGGAAGGAAGAAAGGGAATACATGCAGACACACAGTATCTACTAGTTTTTCATTTGTTATTTCTTCTAAATTCAGAAAACTGGAATGACTCAATAGCTGACACAATTTATATAAAAAACAGTCAAATTGCTACTGTTTAGAGAGCAGACCCTATTGAGCCAGACAATTTTTTTAAAATCCTGGTTTACATAACACTGTAATCTTCTACATTTTAATTTATACAGTAGAGTTAATTCCTATTTCATTGGACTTTTAGGCTTACTTTGAATAAGATGAGGTATTTACAAATCTAACACACAATAGAGGCAGGAACACCTGCTGCATGATTTCCTAGCATTATTTTCCCCTACCTCTTTCCAGTATGTCCTGATTTCACTGTGGATATCTACAGATATTGCTGCACTAGGAGTACAGCATGTGACCCAGCCTTCATTAAACCATTGCATGTGATTCTCTTGTCAGTGGTAGTTGGTAAGGGGGTCACACATGTCCTAAACTGGCAGAGTTTCAGAGAGTCTCAGAAATTATGCTTGAAGCTTAGAAACTTGAACACACGTTTACCCATTTTCAGTGATAGTACTTTTCTCAGTCCCTTTCTGCTGCTATAGGATAATATCACAGACTGGGTAGTTTATAAGGAAAAAAAAATTTACTTGGATCATGGTTTTGGTGGCTGAGAGGTCCACGATTGAGGGGCTGCATCTTGTGAGGGTCTTCTTGCAGCATCATCTAATGGCACAAGGCAGAAGGGAAACAGGGCATTCGTGAGAGAACAACAGATTGAACTCACAGCCTCAAGCCCCCTCATAATCAGCATTAGATCATTCATGAAGGTGGAGCCCTCATGACTTAAACACTTCCTGTTAGACCCCAGCTCCCACCACTATTGCACTGGGGAATAAGTTTCCAACACATGCTTTCTGGGGAACACATTCAAACCACGGCGTTCCACCCCTGGTCCCCCAAATTCACATCCTTCTCAAATTGAAAAATATATTCATTTCATCCTATAGTCCCCCAAATCTTAACCCATTCTAATATCACCTTAAAAATACAAAGTTTAAAGTTTCATCTAAATCAAATATGAGTGAGACTTAAAGCATGATTTATTCTGAGGCAAATTATTTTCCATCTGTGAAATTAACAAGTTATGTGCTTCCAAAATACAATGGTGGGATAGGCATAGGGTAGACATTTCCATTTCAAAGGGGAGAAGCAGGCAAGAAGAAAAGAATAACAATTCCCATGTGAGTCCAAAACCCAACAACGAAAACAAAATTCTTAAAGCTGTGGAATAATCTCCTTTGATTCCATGTTGCTCATCCTGGGAAAACTGGGGTGGGGTTGGCCCTTAAGGCCTCAGGCAGTCCTGTTTCTATTGCTGTCCTGGGCTCAGTCCACTCAGCAGCTCTCACAGATGGGAGTTTTGTTCCTGCAAGTCTACTTGGCTGGAATTGTACTCTGGGGGCTGTATAGTTCTGGGGTCTTGAAGGCAGCCCTGCCTCCCATGGCTCCACTAAGCATTACCCTAGTGGAGACTCTCTGTTGTGGCTCTATTCCTGTAACAAGTCTCTGCCTGGTCTCCCAGGCTGTCTGAGACATCCTTTGAAATCTGGATGAAGGCCAGAATGGCCCCACAGATATTGCATTCTGCTCATCTGCAGAGTCAGCACCATGTGTTGCTTGTGTGTACGTGGTGACACAAGCTGCAGCTGAGCCCACTGGAGCCACGATTAGGGGTCAGTTGAGCCAATGTTCTGGTGGCCAAGGAACACTGCACTGGAATGTAGTGGGCAGAGTACCAAGCTGGCCATGGGCAGTGAATGCTGAGGCCCCACAGGTGCCTTTCTGGAAACTTTGTCCTCAAGATCTTAGTTTGCCTCTAAGATCTCAGAAATGCCTTTAGGGTCATTCTCCCATTATGTTGAATAGCACCTGACTGCCTTCTATTTGTACTAATCTTTTTAGCAGATGGTTGCTTGGACACTCTTGGTTTGCTCTCCTAAATAAGCCTTTTTCATCTTTACATGGCCAGGCTATGAATTTTCTAAATTTTTCCCTTCTGCTTCCCTTTTATTTATAAATTATATCTTTAAATAATTTTTCTCCATTTGCATCTTACTATACATGGTTAAAACTAGACAAACAACTTCTTCCGTATTTTGTTTAGAAGTTTATCCCACCAGATACCCTTTTTAAAAACATTTCATTTATTTAGTTAGATATGGGGTCTTGGTTTGTTACTCAGGCTGAAGTGCAGTGGCATGATCATTGATTAGCATCAAATTCCTGGTTTCAAGTGATCCTCCTGCCTCAGCCTCCTAAGTATCTTGGACTACATGCATGTGCCACCACATGCAACTAATTTTCTTTTCATTTTTTAGAGATGAGGTCTCACTATGTTACCCAGGTTGGTCTCAATCTTCTGGGCCCTTGCAATTCTCCCATCTCAGTCTCCTGAGTAGCTGGGATTATAGGCACAAGCTACCTAGACTGGCTCCCACCAGGTATCCTGGTTCACTGCTCTTAAATTCTGCCTTGCATAAAATCCTAGGGCCTGGACACAATTCCTCCACATTCTTTGCTACTTTATAACAAGGATGGCCTTTACTCCGTTTTGCAATAACTTGTTCCTCATTTCTGTCTTAGACCTCATTGGAACTGCCTTTGCCATCCATATTTCCACCAACATTCTGATTATGACCACTTAAGTAATCCCTAAGAAGATTTAGGCTCTTGTTACAGCTCTTGTTTTCTTCTTAGCCCTTGCTGGAATTGCCCTTAATGTTCCATTTATAGCAATCTGTGCTTTTGTTAGCCTACTCCTTCAAATTCTTCCTGCCTCTATCCATTATCTAGTTCCAAAGTCACTTCCACATTTTCAGGTATTTGTTATTGCAAGAACAGAGATTTATTTCTTATAGTTCTTCAAGTTGGGATGCTCAAGAGCATGGTGGTGGTATTTGGTGAGGACTTCTGTACTGCATCATCCCACGGCAGAAGGCAGAAGGGCAAGAGCACATGAGAGGAAGAGAGCAAGAGGAGTCTCAACTCGTTTTTTTTTTTAACAAGCCCACTCTGGCAATAATGAACCCACTCTCTTTATAATGACATTAATGCCCACAAGGTAGAGCTCTCGTGATGTAATCAGCTCTTAAAGGTCCCACCACTCAACACTACTACAATGGGGACTAAGATTCCAACACATAAATTTTGGGGGACACATTCAAATCATAACAGTACTGTATGTGGATGAAAAACCTACACTTGCTCTCTCTATCTTGGCTTTCAGCCTGACAACAAAGCCAGCATGCAGAACAGAGCTGAGCCAAGAAAATCACAGAGGAACAGAGCCAAGTTTTGATAGTACTGTGAACCTCTGGATCAAATTGTGCCTGGAGCCTGCCCTCCCTCTAGAGTTTTCATTATACGAGCCAATAATTTTCTGTTCAAAGTTGATTTAGTTTTCTTTTTTATTCTACATTAAGAATTTGAACTGATACAATAGGTAGTCAATAAATCTCAGCTTCATGACCTCTTCAGCAGTTGACTACTATATTGGAAAGGGTCACATTCCTTGTGGCTTTTTATCTTGTTGTTTGAAAGAACTGTGGTCTAAGAAAAATTATGTTTAAAGTTTTAACTTCAGAGTTAGCATCAAGCTACACCCTTTGCAGAATAAGAGTGGTATATTACAAAGTTTGGCATGAAGTTACTCTCAGCCTGAGTGGGTTGGAATCCCAATCCTTTTAG
Source organism: Homo sapiens (assembly GCF_000001405.40). Classification (NCBI taxonomy): domain Eukaryota; kingdom Metazoa; phylum Chordata; class Mammalia; order Primates; family Hominidae; genus Homo; species Homo sapiens. Next base: position 92,335,285 of record NC_000004.12, read on the forward strand.
ACACTTGCTGTGTGACCTACAGTGATTTACTCAACATATCAGAACTTGTTTTCTCATCACATAAAAGATCTTGGTATTCTTTTCTCACAGATTTATTGTCAAATAAGAGAATTGCTGCAAAGCACTGAGAGATTTGCCCAGCATGTAATGAACTCTCAGTAATCATTAATCATTATTATGATTTATTTTTCTTTCAGTCTGACTTTGGGGAAAAGTTATGTTAGGAAGCTGCTGAATCTCAATTATGATTTTCAGTATTAAGCAAAGAAATCACAGGTATCTTGTGTTATGAGTAAGTCAATGCATTTCCCAATTGATCTGAAGCACTTTTTCTTACTTATGCAATTAAAGGAAGTCTAAAGTATACAATAAAAAGTTATTTGTATTTTAAAGGGTATACCATTACTGGGGAATATTTTCTGCCAAATAAAAAATAATGAGTTACTCAGAGAGATGGTTGAATGACTAGACTTGAATGGTAATAAAAAGCCAAATGCCAAATTTGCACATAAAAATCATCTTAGAAGTGTACCCTGAGTGATTGATTCCAAGCATTGGTTTATCTGATGCTTGAGAAGTCAATAATTGAATAGTTTTTAAAGAGCTATGTGGTGGTCCATGGAAGGAAAGTCACTGTTTTTTACTTTATTTTATGAGGACAAAATTTATGTGTATACACTGACAAACTTACAAATGCAAAAAAATTAAATTGCTGCATAATTTTATTATTTAGGGATAAGAATGGCTAACATTATAATGTATGGCCTTGATTTTCATTACATACACACAAATATTTGCGGTAATGTCTATGTTATACAAGTACATATGTGCATGTGTGTACACATTTATTTGTAAGTAATTTAGTGTTCTGGCTTCATGTATGCTTAGTAATTCTTAGATGTCATAAGGACACCATAATCTTCATATATTTAGAACTGATATCCTTTTCTAACCCCTTTTTCACTCAAAGCTTCATTATGATGTCTGTTTCAGTGACAGGCAACAACATCTAGCAGTTGGGAAAGCCAGATCCCTATAAAAATGCTTGAAGCCTCCTTTATTCTCCAACCTCCTAACCAATTAAACATGAGTCCCATTGTTTCTGCTTCCTAAATATCTCAAATCTGTCCATTCCTCCACATTTCTACACTTGATCTTAGCCAAAAGGTTAAGAAGCAATCGTTCCTCCACATTTCTGTACTATTCCATAGCCAGAGTTCCCATCATCTCTGACTTTGGCTGCTGCAGTAACCTCAAAACTTGCATATTGGTGTCCACTACCCCTACTCACCTATTCTCCTCAGAGTAATTTGAGTAATATTTTAAAAATTAAAAATAACATCATGTCCCTACTGTGCTTAAAATCTGTATCTTACTATTTGGCCTCCATGGGTCTTAAGATAAAACAGTAAACGTTTTACATGACTTATAAGTCTCTAGATTTTTAGATCTCTACCTCCTCACCAACCATTGCTACTCTTATCTTTTGCTTTTTTAGTTTCTCAAAGGTGTCATGCTGCTTCTTCTTCAGGACCATTGATTTTTTTGCTTCCTATATCTAGATGACTCTTGAAACATCACACCCATCATGCCCCACGATTCTAATCAAATGTTATTTCCTCACTGGAGTCTTTTTGGCTTTACGGACCAAGTCAGGTCTTTCGTTGTTGTTTTTTTTTTTTTTTTTTTTTCATGAATTTTGCTTATACTTCACAGCATTTACCTCAGTAGAAATTAAAATGTGGGGGTTCTTTGAAACTTTATATAATATGTCTCTCATGCTACTATATACTTCACAAGGTCAGGGACTGTATCTTAACTTGTCAGAGCCATATCTCCATTATTTAGCATAGACTTTGCTCGTAAGACTGCACATAATCTTTTGTCCTTTTATTGTTTCATAAACTCTGTCTTATCTTTTCTAAAATAATGTTTTTAATTTTGGATTGTTGTTTCACTGTTAAGATAGAAAACGGTTTATTTAACCAAGCCCCCTGTTATTGGACTTTTAAATTATTTTTGTCTACTTATTATAAATAATATTGCGATGAGTTCAGGAATTCATTGAATTAAAGGCATTGTAGCTTAAGTTCTCTACAAGCAGAGCCTGAGTTGGAGATTCTTGGGTAAGCAATTTATTGAGGAATGTGCCCAGAAGAAAAGTGAACTGAGTGAGGAAAGCAGAATAGGGCAGAGGTAGAAGCTAAGTGTATTAGTCTGTTCTGACACTGCTATGAAGAAATGGCTGAGACTGGGTCACCTCAGAAAACTCAACAATCATGGCCGAAGGCACTTCTTCACAAGGCTGCTGGAGAGAGAAGTGAGCAAGAGAGGAGCTACCAAACACTTATGAAACCATCAGATCTTGTAAGAACTCACTCACTATCAGAAGAACTGCTTGGGAGCAACCACTCCCGTGATCCAGTCACCTCCCACCAGGTCTCTCCCTTGATACCTAGGGATTAAATTGCCCAAGGAGATTTGGGTGGGGACACAAAGCCTAACCTTATCACTAGGCAAATAAATGGTTCCAGAAGAAGTCTTTCCTGAGCCAGATTCCAACGAGGTATCTGGAGTGAAAATAGCACCACAGTAGTTATCACTCTTAGAAACTAAGCATCTAGGCTGTTACATCCATTATTCTTTGGCCATGAACTGCCTGCGTGTGTGCATATGTGTGTGTCTGTGTATAAGTGCACAGGTGTAAACTTACAGTGGCTTGCCTGTACATGGGATCTAGAAGAAGCACCAACAGTATCTGGTACAAAAAAGAACTAGGGATGCTGCATGGAAGAGATTTTTCTTAAGTATTAAGCCTTGGGACATGGTAGGATTTTGATATATACTTCAGAGGGAAAATATGTTCTGAAGAGAAAAAACAAAAGCACAATAAGGAAAGTGCTGAGCATGTTTTAGAGAAATTGAATAGTTTGTTATAAATAAAATAGAGGTAAAGTGAGGTGTGAGTATTTGGAGACAAAAATTATAAAGACGGATTGTACCTATACCATAAAATAACTTAAATTTTAAACTTTATAGAATATACATTGTGAACAGAAAAGTTTTTCAATGAAGAGTATTCACAGATACATTGCATTCGTATAATTTTGGGTTACTTTTAAAGGTCTAAATATTGTCTACTGACACATAGTTTCTTACAGTATTAATTGAGAAATTATGATAGTTTAAGTAAGCACAAAATTATATAACATTGTTCCTGGTGTTGAGACTCTTACAATATAGGAACATACACAAAAACATACACACATATTTGCATATATATAGTATCTCTCAGTTTTATGTGTATTAAATTCATGATACAAAAAAGAATTGTTCTGAAACATAGCTATCTATCTAAAACATTGTATGGTAAAAATTCATAAAACTTACGTCTATGTTCCTAAATGTCATAAAAACAATTGAAAATTCATTTTTAAAGGAAATGACATGCAAAATAGTGTAAAGAAAAGCATATTTTGTGTACACGTAGAAAATCTTGTGTTCATAAACATTATTTAAAATCTTAAATTATAATCTTGACTCCTAAAACATAAATCTAATATTTAGTTATTCTCAATTTAATTTTTCTCATTTGTAAAATGCTGTTGGACACTCTTTATTTTACAGGAGGTGTGGCAATTGAAGTTAATGAGTTAATGTTTATAGATGCTTTTTGAGGCCTTTAGATGAAAGGTACAATATAAATCCAAAATATTAATCTTTAGGTGTGAAATACTCTAATTACTTCCCATTGCCATAGGGACATTATTGGAGATTTATACCTTCCTCTAAAATACCTGGAACAATTGTTATATGAGAAAGCATAATTTTAGGTGAACCATTATAATTCTGTAGTCATTACCATGTATCAAAAAATAAAGTATATGTGTTATATATTCAGCACCTTCTTATTTCCCATTATTCATTTATTGATATACAAACATTAAGATGACTCGGAAAGCTGATCCATTATGCTGTTCTATCTATGTTGCTGCTAGAATCTTTTTTATATACAGAAATAAGGGGAAAATATTTTTAAAAAGAGGTTGAGAGAGCAGCTACTGTACTCCATATATTGGTTTTAACACTAGACCAATTCAATATTCATTAACTATCCTATGATAGCAAAGGAAGAAAATTCGTCATTGTAGTAGTATTCTTATATTTAAGTAATGAAAGTGGTACCATTTATCGACTATATATATTTACCAGGCATGGTGCTTATCATATTTCATACATTATTATGATCCTCATAGTAACCCTATAAATGGAGATGGAACTGTGGAATTTAAACATGAGCAAAGGAGACAAACAACAGGTAATTAATTAGCTCAAGGTCACAGAAGATTTAAACCCAGGCAATGTAGAATCCTGAGTTTTTTCTTTAACCCCTGAAGTATACTAATTTCCCCAAATGCTACCACTTTATTATTCTGTTTATTTCACTGTTATGGATCCTACTGAATCTAGACTGCACAAGATAATTTTAATAACGAAATAAAACTCGAAGAAGTTCTCACCAGAAGCAGAGGTTTCCCTTGCCAAGTTATTCTACATGAGCTGCTTATCTGGTTTCTTGCCAAACCAATATGCATAAACACTGAAATTGCAGAAAGAAGAATGCAAATCACAAAGCTCGTTTTTATTAGGCTCATGTTGAAAACACATAACTGAGCTTAGCACGTGTAAACTGAGTTTAAGAATGGTTGTGGCATTTTCTTGAAAACTGGGAAAAAATATTGTATATTTATACTCCACAAAGTAAACCAAAAATATCCCTTTGAAGTATTTAAATGAACAATAAAAAATAATGTATTATTTAAGATAATTATAAAATAAAGCTATTACTTGTGAAAATTTGGAGAAATTATGATTCTAGTTTAAAAGTGGTATCTCCTTTCTCCTTTCTTTCTATTTCGCTCTCCCACCTCACCCCCATCATCTCCCATATACTTGTACAATCACAATCACCGTTCATGTAAATCAAATTTCTGAAACCAAAAACGAGGTCTTATTCCTGCTCAGTCCAATCTATTTGCCACATTTTCCCGCATGAGTGTCCCAAAGTAAATTTGTATGATGTTATTTACAGCATCTCAGAGACTCCATCAACATTCAATTCTGATCTTGGTGCACAAAGCCCTTCTTGATTTGGCACTTGCTTAATTTCCAGTTCACTCCTGCCACTCTCAGATGTGCTTCCTGATCTTTGACTTTCCCTGTAGAAATGCTACCTGCTTGTTCATGGCTTGGTGCCTTTCACCATGTTGTTCTCTCTAACTGGAATTCTACATGATGAACACCTACTCATTGCTCAAAATTCAATGTAAATAAATAGTTCTCTGAGAAGTGTTTCTGACCTTCTCCAAACAGAAGGATGATCACCCCTGTCTAGACGCTTGCATAGCACTCTGCATTTACTATATTGAATTATAATTTTTATTCAGCATATTGCATTGCAATTACTTATTCACTACCATATTTATTATCAGCCTATTAAAACCTGTGCCTGTGGCTTATTGGTCTTGTTTACCATGACTGGTACAGTGCAGAGTAATGTCTAGACAGTTAAAATGGGAACTTCTCTGTCTCTGAGTTTTTTTCTGAGACCACAAAGCAGACAACAGTATGGGTCAAGTATTTTTACATTTTAGACTGTCTATATGAGCTTGTAAAGGGGGTTCTTAAACCATTCCTGCAGTTTTGTGATAAGCAAATATTATAAATAAGTTAAGTTCTAATACAATATCACCTCAGTATTATATACAAAAGGGCAGTATCTAGTATATAAAATATAAAATGTGTATACTATACAGTATATGGTATACAGTAGATAGTATATATAAAAGCGCAGTAAGCTGCTGCCCTTTTTTATTTAATATATGTGGCTTATACATTTGATGGTGTTAATTTTTCAAATCAGGTTAGAAAATCTTATCAGTCTGCTAGCACACTTCAGTTTTGCACCTTTATTACTTCTGTCACTGCCATGTTATGTTACTATTGAAAATAAGCCCTGTATGGTCCAATGTGTCCTACCTAATGTGGATCACTTGCTAGTTTAGATTCCTACAGCAAGAGATGGCAGTTCTCCACTGACTTTCTAAGGCTTCAGAGATTTTTTTCAGTTTATATTCATATGCTCAGCTATTTCACTGAAAAATGATGCCACTAAAGTCTAGAGCTGCTTCTACCCCCATCCACAGCCTACATTGCAATCCAGCTTCCCCAAGGCCACTCAATAATAAATGTGATGATAAATCTGTTACAAGCAGATAAACACTTGAGAATCAAGGTTCATCTATTGGACACCTATGGATAAATGAGTATTTGGGGTATTTAAAAAATTTATGTGGCCCAGCGTGGTGGCTCACGTCTGTAATCCCAGCACTTTGGGAGGCCGAGGCGGGCGGATCACGAGATTGAGACCATCCTGGCTAACGCACGGTGAAACCCCATCTCTACTAAAAATACAAAAAAATTAGCCAGGCGTGGTGGCGGGCGCCTGTAGTCCCAGCTTCTTCGGAGGCTGAGGCGGGAGAATGGCATGAACTCGGGAGGCAGAGCTTGCAGTGAGCTGAGATCGCGCCATTGCACTCCAGCCTGGGCGACAGCGAGACTCCATCTCAAAAAAAAAAAAAAAAATGTTTATGTAGCAACTTGAGGATACCAAGATGGTCATCCATTGTACCTTGCTGGATAATTTTTAAATTGAGGAATAACAAACTTATTTAACATTTTATTCATTAATTAAAAAATATTTATTATTGTACTACTGCGCTGGGCACTGAGAATTCAGGAATGAACAAAATATTCCAAGTTGCTATGCTCAGGGAACTTACAATCTATTTGGGGAGACAAAAAATGCACTAAAATGTAAATATGTATGTGTGTGTATATATATACACCCATAAATATTTATACACATATGTATGTATATGTCAATATCATCAGGAGACTTAACATCCAGTTGGAGAAAATAAGTTATATGTTAAATAAAATTCAACAGTTAAATAATGCATAGAAATATAAAATAATAATTAAAAGTCCCAAGAGAGAATGGATTTTGGTGTATTTGTTTAAATAGTGAAACTATGAATTAAGAGGATGTGATCACTCTAGCTTGAAAGGGTTATTGAAGGAAAGGAGACTTGAGCCTGAAGAAGCCATATAATTAGAGAAGTCAGTGATCTCATCAATGGCTCATTTTAGTTAAAGCATTTAGAAGCAACAGTCTTACATTAGAACTCTAGAATGTTTAGGAAGATTTACTCATAACCTATACATATCAATAGAAAGGTGTTCTTGGAAGGAAATTCATTAAACAAAATCTGATACATCAACTAAGACTCAATTCTGAGTGTTCCTTCATAGATTTCTGCCTAAACAATTTTGGTGGAGGGAATTTTCAGTAACACCATAAAGTGAGTATATTGATTGTCACTGTGAAGAAAAGCATACAGATTTTCAGGCAATCTGTTCATTGATAGATGTCTTAATAAACTTCAAAACTGGCAGCTGCTTCCCAATATCCTAATATTACTAATTGTGCTATATTCTCTTCGTCACAAACTATATCCTGGGAATGAGTTGACAACCTATAGAAAGATAAGGATCTCGGTCCCGTGTGTTCACTGTGTACACCACGAATGAATGGGCAATTGTGGCATAGTGTAATAGGCATTCAGTGAATATATTTGTTAAGTGAATGAAATATATAATATGAACTGAAAGATATAAACTGAGTATTCCCTATAGTCCTATGGGGAAATTTGACATATTTCGCTATAATGCAAAAATAAATTTAATTTATCATTTCTTATTTAAGCTTATTATATTCTCAATATTTCTCTCCTGCTTATCTATTGGAGTTCCTCTGTAAATTTAACTTTTTTGTAAAACTTCGATTTTCTTCTCTGTGTGTTTTTTTGCATGGTGGGTGATGTTACCAACTGCAAAAAAAAAAGCTCAAATCAAATCAACATATATATGTTTGTAATTATACACATGCTTAGTACTATTATTATATATGTAATATTTACATACTATACATAAACATACACTATACACATTATAAATGTACACTCTCTGTATTTACAATTAACCCTTGAACAATGTGGAGATTGTGGTACTGACCCCCTGTACAGTCAAAAATACTCATATAACTTTTTACTTCCTAGAAACTTAACTACTCATAGCCTACTGTAGACTGGAAGCCTAACTAATAGCATAAACAGTATATATAATGTGTTATATATAAAAATATGTGTTTTTAAATATATGTGTTTATATTATATATATATTTGGAGATGGAGTTTTGCTCTTGTAGCCCAGGCTGGAGTGCAATGGTGTGATCTCGGCTCACTGGAACCTCTGCCTCCGAGGTTCAAGCAATTCTCCTGCCTCATCCTCCCGAGTAGTTGGGATTATAGGCACCCGCCACCATGCCTGGCTAAATTTTGTATTTTTAGTAGAGACAGGGTTTCACCATGTTGGCCAGTCTGGTCTTGAACTCCTGACCTTGGGTGATCCACCAGTCTTGGCCTCCCAAAGTGCTGGAATTATAGGCGTGAGCCAGTGCTCCCAGCTATATATGTATTATATACTGTTTCCTTACAAAAAGTAAGCCAAAGAAATCATAAGGAAGAAAAAGTATATTTTATGTTAAGCAGAAGTGGATCATCATAAAGGTCTTCCTCCTTGTCTTCACATTAAATAGGTAGAGGAAAAACAGGAAGAGGAGGAGCTGGTCTTGCTGTCTCAGAGGTGGCAGAGGTATAAGAAAATCTGCATATAAGTGGATCTGTGCAGTTCAAACCTGTGTTACTCAAGGGTCAACTTATAATTTAATAATTATAATACAATATACAATTTTTTTAATGCTAAGATGAAGCCAGGCGACTGAGCTGATCTGAGACTACATTTTCTGTAGGCATGCCATCTGGGTTTCTTTAAGCACACCTATTCCCCTTCCTCAATTTTCAATAGAAATGTGTTATTTGCCCATTATTTGTAAATAAAAGTATTTAGAGTATAAAATTAATTGAGGACCACTGTGAAAGGGCTTAGAAATTCTTAACTAACCACTTTCTTCCCTATGAGTTTTACATGTATTGCATCATTATATTTCCCTTTATTACCTAACATTTTTAAGATTCTTGGTTTCTATTCAAGTTATCTTTTGCTGCAAAATATCTTTTTCCTTACAAACTTAGTGGCTCAAAACAAGAAGATTTATTTTGCTGAGGAATCTGTGATTTGGGCAGTGCTCGACAGGGACAACTATTCCTTTCTTCACTCGGATTCGAGTGGTGTAGCTCAAAGGCTACAGGCTAGAATTTTCTGCCAGCTTGCTCATTGGTGGTGAATGCTCAGATCAGTTGGAACCTCATCAGGGATGGGGCTAGAATACCTACCTGTGGCTTTTCTGTAATTCCACATAGTGTATTGTCTGAGGTCTCAGGTGAATGTCCCAAAGAGATAGAGGGAAGCTTTATTGCCCCTGAAGTCACATAGCCTTCCTTCTGCCATCTTCTGTTTATTAGAAGCAAGTCACTAAGGCTGGCCTTTTTTGAAATGTAGGGAGTTAGATACCACCTTTAAAAAAAATTATCTCAATAGTTTTGTGGGTCCAGGTAGTTTTTGTTTACATGGATAAGTTCTTTAGCAGTGATTTCTGAGAGACTTTAGTCCACCTGTCACCCAAGTAGTGTACACTGTACCCAATATGTAGTTGTTTATCCCTCACCCTCCTTTCAGCTTTCTCCCCTGAGTCCCAAAGTCCATTATATTATTCTTATACATTTACAACTTTATAGCTTAGCTCCCTCTTATAAGAGAGAACATGTGATGTTTGGTTTTCCATACCCGAGCTACTTCACTTAGAATAATAGCTTCCAGCTCTTATAAGAGAGAACATGTGATGTTTGGTTTTCCATACCCGAGCTACTTCACTTAGAATAATAGCTTCCAGCTCCATCCAAGTTGCTACAAAAGAAATTATTTCATTCCATTTATGGCTGAGTAGTATTCCATAGTGTGTCTATACCATGTTTTCTTTATCCACTTTTTGGTCGATGGGCACTTAGATTAGTTCCATATCTTTGCAATTGCAAATTGTGCTGCTATAAACGTGTGTGCATCTGTCTTTTTCATATAGTGACTTCTTTTCCTTTGGGTAGATACCCAGTAGTGGGATAGCTGGATGGACTGATAGTTCTACTTGGAAACTTCGTACTGTTTTCCATAGTGGTTGTTCTGATTTACATTTCTACCAGGAGTGTAAAAGTGTAGACACCACCTTTAATGGTTAAATATTGCAGAAAATCATCTCAGCTTTCTAAGTCATAAATGATATTATGGTAAAGACAATTTTGAAATTTCACAGAGAATTTTTTAAAAATTATCTATAACGATTTCCTGCTATTGCCAGTTTCTGGATATCTTCTGCTTATTTAAAGATGAAAAAAGCCCCCAATACTTTTTTGACCATCACACAAACTATCTTGAGGTCTCTTGTAAATTAAAACACAAAAGTTCTTGAAAGTAAGCATCGTTAGCCTTCTCCTTTTGGTTTCTTAATTAACCCCATAATCAGCATATTCAATCATCAATCTTTTTAGTATACAAATGATACAAAGTGACTTATCAAAAGTGTTGTTAATAATTTACAGGTAATAGAGTAAATTTATATGTTTATGTACCTCACTTTACTTCTTGGGAAAGACATTTCGTGTCAAAAAGCATAATCTGAACAAACAAGAAGCACCACTACTGATTGGGAAACTACTTACTTTAGTGCTACCTTATCAGCTCTTACCTATAAGCCATGTCAGCTCCTCACTGGTTTTCATCCCTAAGTGACATCAGCAGCAGCAACAGCTATTGTGTTATTGATTTAAATCCTTCTGAGATCAATTCAAAGGAGGAGAGGTCTCATTTCCATTGGTTTGTCCTGTTTATCTTGTGTAGGGACACAAGTCTGAGAAATCAAAATTTTATTCTCTTGTTTCTAACAAGCCTTACAACATTATATTTCATTCATGGTATAATTTGACTCATATTTTATTTTCTGAACTTTTTTTGTTTTGTTTTGTTTGCGACAGGGTCTTGCTCTGTTGCCCAGGCTAGAGTGCAGTGGTGCAGTCTCGGCTCACTGCAGCCTTGACCTGCCAGGCTCAACTGCTCTTCCCACCTCAGCCCCCACAAGTAGCTGGAACTGCAAGCAAGCACCACCATGCCTGGCCAATTTTTGTGTTTTTCTGTGGAAATGGAGCCTCACTGTGTTGCCCAGGCTGGTCTGGTACTTGAACTCAAGTAATCCACCTGCCTTGGCCTCTGGGATTACAGGCATGAGCCACCGTGCCCAGCCTATTTCCTGAACTTTAAATACAATATCAGGGAGAAAATCAACAATATTTTGCAGTAAAAGTTCGAATATTCATGTAAACATTTGTACTCTTTTCCCATTCCATTGGAATAGTTAATAAAATCAGAATATAAAAATTTCATATGCAATTAAAAAATTCATGATAAGTTAAAGGAGTTTCCATCTTTTAGTTTAATGATTTAAAGATTTTACTTCTAATTATTTTAGTTGCAAGTGATATGTATTTATGCATATATCTATCTCTCATTATGCATCTGTCTCTCTATCTATCTCATCATCTTTTGATACTTCTCCTAGGCTGAATGTTTCACATTTTTTCTCTTAGTCCAGAAAATATGTTCTGCTTTCCTGCTTATATGGGGAAAATGACCACTGCCAATAGCTTCAAGTTTATTTCTCTCTTATTCCAGAAGGCTGGCAGATTGAGATTAGAATCTCTCATCCAATTTTAGTTTCTGAGGAGCAACTGATTTGCCAAGCTGGTGTCAGCTTTTTAGCCCTGAACCAAAAAATTGTGGCCAAAGAATGATGAGTTCATTTTAAATAAATATATGACTAGAAATAGCATTCAATATTAGGATAGTTCAGTGTGGAATAGAGATAATTATTCCCTGAAATTATAAAGTGTGTGTGAGGCTATGCACATGCAATATGTGTGTGTGTAGATATGCCTCCATATTGTGGTATGGCAGTGGTGGCTTATTTGCTAGTGAGATAAACAATATGTGTCCACTTTGGGATGTTACATATATGCCTAATCAATATTTTGAGGATGAGCCTATTTACTTCTCTGGTTGATTTAAGTACAGAAAAGTGTAATGAATAATACTTGGCTTGAAGATCTAGCTATACTTAGAATAGGTTGACAGAACCATTAATTTCAAATGAATATGGACCTTTATTTTGGGTAGAGGATTCTATTATATATTTGCCAACAATGCAGAATGTTGTTTCTTAATAATAGTATTGAGATCTAAAAACATTTACACTGTACTGTGTGCTCAGAAATTACATAAGATGAAACATTGGTATAACCTATAGGAAGGCGAGATTGAGGGATAGTTGTTATAAATAAGAGGCTTAGCTTGTTAAGAACAAAGAACAGAGTTTTTCTGTTCTTTGAGATGATTTATGAAAAGAGACACCTTTCATACATTAGTGCATTAATATATGAATATAATATTATATTGTAATATTACGTAATTGTAATATTACGTTTTATGAAATAAGCTAATCATCTCTGAAAACAGCAGCAGCTTTATAAAATAAGTAATAGTAGCAGACTTTAACTGTTTTGTTGAGACCGATTATTTGCCCTATTGCCAAGGCAGGAGTACAGTGGCATAGTCATAGTTCACTGCAACCTCTAATTCTTGGGCTCAACTGATACTCCTTCCTCAGCCTCCCAAATAGCTGGGACCACAGTCATGTGCCACCATGCCTGGCTACTTGTTTTACTTTTTAAAATTTTTAGTGGAGATGAGGTCTCACTATGTTGCTCATGTTGGTCTCAAACTGCTGGGCTCAAGTGATCCTCCCTCCCTGGTCTCCCAAAGTGTAGGGATTAGTCATGAGCCACCATGCCTGACCAGACTTTAATATTTTAGGCGAATCCTTCTAGTTCTTAACGTTTCAACCTTATAGATTTTATATTTCCAAGCATTTTACATAAACCATTTTCAGTGAAAGAGATTTTCAAATTATTTCCTTGACAGGGATGTAGAATTAGTATTCATTTCACAGAAAGAACAATGATATGATAACAGAAGTATTCACTGTTAGGGAAAAAAGTTGGAACTCAGAGTTCCTGAGGCATGTTTGAATTTATTCAGTTAAATTATGTTTATTTCAGAAAGACTGAAGAGCTAAAAGAGCTAGTTTCAGCTTTCTTATAATTAAATCAGTGCTTTATACCTGTTAGGCTAGGTGTAAATGAAAGAAATAGGGGTGTAGAAATACAAGGTATGTTAATTACAGTTCATTCATAATGCATTGCAAAGGATCTTTCCTAATTGCAGAAGCATATTTTAAGAAAGTTTCAGGTATTAAGACATAGTTTATGAGATCTTGCACCCAAACACATAACGTCTCCAGGCCCTAAGCAAGGTAAAGATAACAACCAAAAGTTGTCCAGTTTAAATTAAGTAAACAAACTCTGTGGAATTATAGTAGAAAGAAATTTAATAGCAGAGGGTAGATAACAAAGAGATTGAAGATAACTAATTACAATATTAATTAGTACCTTTGTTGGCCTTAAATTGGTGGACCTAAGAGAGTACTCTGAAAATGCAACATGTATTAATTGAACATGTGGGAAACTACCAATACTAGAGTGCTTTTTTTTTTGAGTGCCTATGATTAATTGTAATGGGAAGATGGAGAGGTTTTATTAATGACCACCACTGGCTAGCTGGCTAGTAAGATTCTTGATAAAGAAATGTTATTATTCTTGGCTTTTTAAACTACACACCAAGCTTTAATCTGAAGTATATTTCAAAAAGTTAATGTTAAACAATTTGAAAATGTGAAACATGGAAAATAACACAATTATATGTTTATAAGAGATAGGGTAGTTTTAATGACTTCCTAAGCAGAATGGACTAAAAATGACTAAAAGTTTGTCTAACTCTATACTATCACAAAATAATTGACTTGTCCGTTTTTAATGAGTATGCACGTGATCAATTGTCAAGTTAATAATGCCAATTATTATCTCAGAGATGTCAGTCTATTATTAACCTGTGACAGATATTAACTATACATATTGGTAAATAATAAAGTGTGCAAGGGGAAATTAATTAAACTAATATATAAATGTGAGTAAAGGGGAGATGATTGATATTTTTGTATATCAAGATTTTACTTTTATTTAAAACATATTTTATTTTTAAAATAAAATGAAATTTAAAATATTTTATAATAAGCAACTCAAATAAATATATGAAGAATACATTTTAGCGCATTATTTTGAGAAATTTATCATCTGTTATTAAAGATTTTAATTAGGGAAATATTTTTAAAAATAGATGGTATTTTAATATTTTGTATTCCTATAAAAATACAATTGAGGATGTTTGGAATAATCTGCAGGGGAAAACATTTTTAATCTTTTATTATAAAGTAAAACACAGATAATGAAAAGGAAACATGAAAAATGAAATAGTTTAAAAATTTATTGTAAGCCAAACACTTTCATAACCACATCAAGGTAAATAAATGGAATTTTACCAGTAACCCTTAAGTTCTTCCACCTGCTTCTATCCCAATCACAAATTTCTCTCTGAAAAAGTAGCATTCTCCCTCTTTTTTATGGTTCTACTATATGCATTTTGGGAAGGCATATAACCATTACATATTACAATCCATTCTAATTTTCATTTTCCTTTAGTTCTATAAGTGACCGTAGGTCAGTGCTCACAACCTTTTCATTTTTCTGTGTCTTGCTACTCATTTTGATTGTCTGAATGTCAGTTGTTGAAGTCATTTTTTTTAGTATCATGCATGTATTACCTCATTTTTTCATGGCATAAAGCATTGGTGCTGAAAAGTCTACTCATAATCTGCTATTCTTTCCCTTATAACTATATTGCTGTTTCCTCCAACAAATGCCCAAAGGATGTATTGTTATTCTTTAATATCCACTACTCTCTCTCTTTCTTTATAAAAGAATTTAACTTGATATCAGTCTTTCTGGATACTTATTTCAGATAGATAGTGTGCTCTTCAATGTACAATTTCACATTTTTAAAATCACTTCAGAAAAGTTTTCTTGAATTATAATTTTAAACATTTGTTCTGTCTCCTTACTTTCATTTTAGTCTCCAGGGTAACATAATATATGTATATTGAATCTTGCTTGCCTATCTTCAATATTTATCTATTTTGAATCTGTTACTTTTTATTTGTTTGTTGACGTTTAAAATTTCCTTCCTTCTTCCCTTCTATCTTTCTTAAAGCATAATATGTTGTGATAAAAATTACATTTTCTTAACAGCTTTATTGAGATATAATTTACATACCATGTAATTCACCCATTTAAAATGTATACTGCAATGGTTTTTAGTATATACATAGAGTTGTGTAACCATTACTTACAATTTTAGACTATGTATTCACTCCAAAAGGAAGTCTATACTTAATAGTGGTCACTCCAATTTTCCCCAAATGCCCCAAGCCCTAGGAAACCACTAATCGACTTTCTGTCTCAATAAATTGCCTGTTCTGGATGTTTCATATAAATGGAATCATATAATACGTGGTCTTTTTTGACTGGCTTCTTTTACTTAGCATATTATTTTCAAAGTTCATCCGTTATGTAGCATGTATCAGTACTTCATACTTTTTTATGGCCAAATAATAATTTATCATATGGATATACCACATATTGTTATCCATTCATCAGTTGATGAAAATTTGGGTTGTTTCCACTTTTTGGCTATCATGATTAATGTTGCTATTAATATTTGTATACAAGATTTTGTGTGGACATATGTTTTAATTTCTCTTAGGTATATACCAAGGAGTAGAATTTCTGGTTCATATGGTAACTCTATTTTTAACATTTTGAGGAAGTGCCAAACTCTTTTCCAAAACAGCTGCATTATTTTATATTTCTACAAGCAATGTATGAATGCTTCAATTTCTCCAGATTCTCAAAAAAACTTGATATTACAGTCCTTTAAAAGCTTTATTTAATTTGAATTGACATGTAATAATTGCACATATTAATGGGGTAGAGGTTGATATTTTGATACATGTATGCAATGTATAATGATCAGATCCAGGTAATTAGCATAACCATCACCTCAAATATTTATCATTTGTTTGTGTTGGGATCTTTCAACATCCTCTCTTCTAGCTACTTGAAAATATATAATAAATTATTCTTAACTATAGACACCCTACAGTGCTATGAAACACTAGAACTTTTTCCTCCTATTTAGCTGTAAGTTTGTAGCCATAAACCAACCTCTCCCTTCTCTTCCCTCCCATTTACTATTTCCACCCTCTAATAATCACAGTTCTGTTCCCTACTTCTGTGTCCTCAAGTATTTTGGCCTCCACATATGAGTAAGATCATGCATTATTTATCTTTCAGTGCCTGATATATTTCATTAACATAATGTCCTCCAGGCTCATCTTTGTTGCTGCAGATGACAGGATTTCCTCTTGTAATGACTCAGTAGTATTCTAATGTGTATATATACCACATTTTCTTATCCATTCATTTGTTCAAGGACACTTAGGTTGATTCCATCTCTTGACTGTTGTAAACAGTGCTACAATAAATATGGGGGGCAGATATCATTTCGATGTACTTATTTCCTTTCCTTCAGGTAAATAACAAGTAGTGGGATTGCCGGATCATATGGTAGTTTATTTTTAGATCTATGAGGAACCTCCACACTGTTTTCCACACTGGGTGTACTAATTCCCATCAACAGTGTATTAGATTTCCCTTTTCTCCACATCCTCGGCAGCATTTATTTTTTGTCTTTTGATAATAGCCATTCTAACTGGGGTGAGATGATATGGCATTGTGGTTTTGATTTACATTACTCTTATGATTAGTGGTGACTATTTTTTTCATTTACCTGTTGGCTATTTCTATGTCTTCTTTTAGAAATGTCTATTCAGATCCCTTGCCAAATGTTAAATTGGATTATTTTATTATTATTATTATTATTATTATTATATTTTTTGCTATTTAGTTGTTTGAGCTCCTTGTATCTTCTGGATATTAATCCCTTGTCAGGTGAATAGTTTGCAAATATTTTTCCCATTCTGCAGGTGGTCCTTTCACTTCGTTGATTGTTACGTTTTCTAGGCAGAGGATTTTTAGTTTTATCTAATCCCATCAGTCAATTTTTGCTTTCATTGCCAACACAAGTTATTTTCTGCTTTTTGTGTTTGTTGTTTCATTATACTAATCCACTTAGGTGTGAAGTGGCATTTCAAGTGGATTTAATTTGCATTTCCCTAATAACTAATGATGCTGAACATCCATTCATGTGCTTATTGGTCATTTGTAGGTTTATTAGGATAAATGCCTATCTAAGTCTTTTGCCTATACTTTAATTGGGTTGTTTAAATTTGTTGTTGTTGAGTAGCAGGTGTTCTTTGTCTGTTCTGGATGGTAAACACTTTTGCTTTTAACAGATTGATTATTAAGTGTCTTGGTTTGGATCTCTTCAAATTTGTTCTAGTAGGAGTTTTTTTCAGATTTCTAGATGCTTTTGTGTCTTCCATCAAGTTTGAGTTTTGGCTAAAGGTTTTTGTTATTATTTCTTTAAATATTATATCTTTCTCTTTCTCTTCTTCTGATACTCCCAGTAATCTGTATGTTTGTCCTACAGTTTCCTTAAGCTTTTAGTTTACTTTTTCTTTCTGCTCCTCAGGCATGATAGTTCATATTAACTTACCTTCAAGTTCACTAACTCTTTTGCCTACTCAATTCTGCTTTTGAACTCTTTCATCTCCAGAATTTCTTTTTGGTTATTTTTTATAATTTTTATCTCTTTACTTTTAGTTTTGTTTTGTTCATACATAGTTTTCCTGATTCTCTTTATTGCTTTATCAATTTTTTTTTTCATTTTTCAACTTAATTAAAGACAGTTGTTTTAAAGTCTTTGTCTAGTTTTTCCAGTGTTTGGGCTTCATTAGTATGGTTTCTGTCTATTTACTTTCTTCCTTTGAATGGCTGCACTTTCCTGTTTTTATACACTATGAGGTTATTTTTGTTGAAAAATTGACTTTTAAATATTAAAATGTGGTAACTGTGGAGATTAAATTCTCCTCCTTCCTCAGGGTTTGTTGTTATTTTTGTTTTTGGAGTCTCTAATCATTTGTCTAGTGACTTTTCCAAACTATTTTTGCAGAGACCATATTTCTCGTCTTGTGTGCCTCCTTGAAGTCTCTGTTCCTTAGCTTGTGTTTAAACAGAAGTTTTCTTGAACACCAGTAATTAAAATCTAAAACAAATAAACACACAAATAGCCATCTTTACCAGCCTTTCCAGATTGGCTGTGTGTGGGGCCCCTCCTTCAACGCTTAACCAGACTTGCACTGAACATATGGATCAGCCCAAGTTAAAAGCTTAACATCTTGTTTTGTCATTTCTCAACATGTGTCATGCCCTGGTCACGCACATGACTTCCTAATTGCCCTTTCCATAACCTCCATATCGATTGCCCTAATTTCCCAAGAAAATTCCCTCTCAGATTTTCTGCCAAAGCCTTAAGCTGTCTATTATATTTCTCAACCATAAACTTTTGCCTCAGGCATCCGCAGAATGTTTTGCAGCCTTGCAATGTTTTCAAGAAATGCCGAAACTTTTCCAATGTGAGTTCCGATTTAGGCAAAAAGAGAGACAAATGCCATGTGCTGGCTCTTCAGGTAGCTCCCAGACAGGTTAGAACATATCTACACAATAATTTGTGAAAAAGCTCTGCTCTGCTGCCTCCAGAACCAGGGACCAGCGTTCCTCACTGGGAACATGGGCTAATATCTTCAAGACTGCTACCCAACCATCAATGAGTGGGGCGAGGACAGATAAATATGCCATAGAGCTTCCCTACTGTTTTTAAGTTGACTTTTTCTGGTTTCAGCATTTACTTGGTTGCTGTGAACCTTTGACTGTCTTATAGAGTTCTGACAAATTTGGTTTTGATAGTTTCTGCTGGTTTTTTTATGTTTCTGTGGGGTACATGAGCTTGTAGCTGCCTACTCTGTAATTTTGCTGATATCACTGAAGTCTTCATTTCTGAAATGGTATCTTATTTTTTTCCTGAGTATTATTACATTGTTTCTGTTTTTGCAGTCAGAATTTCTGGTATTCTTTCATGCCTTTTACTTTTTCTTAATGTTTTAGCTAATTTTAAAAGAATATATTACTCTTCTCTGGGTATTATTTTGTTTTTCAGTAGTAAATATGAATTAGTTTTGTTGGAGACATAGATTTTATACATTATACAGATTGTGTCAGCAAGTCAATCAGAATTTATTATATGCCAACTGTATGTCAATTATATAGCATAGAAAGTAAAACAAACTTGGTTCAATTATTTATGATTAATGTTGCCCTAGACCTGTCTAGACAGTTAGAATTAGCAGATACTGCTGTGATGATTGCCTAACATAATACAGACAAAATGGAGATGAGAAATCTTAAGGGGACTTATAGGTCAATGAAACTTTTCTTCTGAACTTACCACCTCCCACCTTTATTACGCTATCATTTAGAAAATTGCTTATGAAGTTCTTCTGCGCAAAGTTTATTTCTGAAAATTGTGCCCTGCTTGAAATCCTTGTTTTAAGATCTTTACATGCTGCCTTATTCTTGTCACTCAATAATCAATTCAGATGTCACTCACTCATGGCGACTCCTCCTCATTATCCTAGCTCAAGCTGCCTTTTCTAATCATCAATATATGATGCTGTTTTTTGAAATGTATTTGTTTTCATGCTTATCATCTGTATTTTCTCTCTAGAATGTAAGCTCCTTTAAGTTGGAGATGTTTTCAGCCATGGCCACATTACGTATGTAGTTTCTAAAAAGATACATAGCTCAGAATGGCTGTAGATTTTTCTCTTCTTTGAAATGGATTTTTTTTTACCTCATTATTTCCTTGGACTAATTGATAATTTTACATAGGCACTGTCTACATAGGCATGCAAAATTTTACTACTTAAGTAGTAAGCTAGAGTTATATTGTGTGCTTGAGCAATTATTAGCATTTAGACTATAGATTTTTATGAAGTAAATATTTAAAATGTTACTACAACTATAATTAAATAATTGAATTTTAAATTTCTTTTAGGGTGACTTTCATACTATGAAGAAAAAAAGGTCATAAGGGTAATGTGTGCTAACAGAGCTGACTTACTCTCATACACTATTTAACTTTACGTTATGACATATAAGCCAAAACTCTACCCTTTTTCAAGCTGCTTTCCTAACAGAGTGTTTTTCAAAACAAACAACAAAAATATTTGGAACAAATTAATTCTCAGTTTCAATATTTATAATTATTCCCCAAATATAGAGAAGTTTTAAGATACGTAAAATAGAGATAAAAACTATGAAGGGTTTGCCTGTTCTCTGGAATTTATTGAGGTCATTTGTACTTATAGGATATCAGGTATGTGACACAGATCAATTCTCTTATATGTATTTCAACTTGTTTTCACAAACTTCTCATTCAGCCCTATAGCCATGCCAGACAGTAAAATTTTTGTTAACTATATGCAAAAGTTGATCTCCATGTGCAGATTGTTGAAGGAGAAAAAAACACTGGTTATAATTTTCAAAAACTAAAATGCTAAATAAAATGGCATTTCATTCATCCATTCATTCATTCATAATATTTTGAAATCTAGATCTTATATTTATACTTGGTCATAACATTTTATTTCTTTTATTGAGGATATTTCTTTGTATTAAGTTGGGGAAATTTATTTGCTAACTTTCATATTTTAAAAAAATGTGTCTTCAAATAAAATTTTATATAAAATGACAGAGTAAAGAAATTTCCTCCAAATTTATTGGGGTTTTTTGGTTCTTCTGAAACAATAGTTTTATTGTATTTGATGCAAAATTTAAAATTCTGCTTTGTATATATATTTTCTGGTTTTCTTATGTTAGAGTTCACTATTTTAAGTGCAAAACAAACTGTTCTTTGCCTTTAGCTATATATTTATATATTTTTTAAAAATTAGAGGTTTAGGAAAACGTTCTATTTTAATGATCTCTTTTACTAACTTATGCATTCCTTATATATTAAAAACATACATGCCCACTGATTTATGAGATTCTCAGCCATAAAAAATTTATATGCATATTACATATATGCTACATATATGTATTAACCATATTTATATGTAGATAAATACTCTGTACTTGTGTGTATGTGCAGTAAACACACTCAAGCACATACCGCATGTATCTATATATGTATAGATGTTTATGCATGTATATATATCATATAGCCAGACACACATACACCTATATGCATATTTAAATATATTGTCTACTGTGTTTTGCTGTGTCTACTATGCTTTTCATATTTCAGTGACATTGTTTCTATAGTAACTAATGCACTGAAAAAATCAATGCAAAAAGGATTGAAATTTTACAAAAAGCCAACCCAGAAACATGCTTAAAAATTGATGTGCAGGGGGAGGTATTTGTCTTGGGTCATACATTTTGGAAGTGAATAAAGCAAAATGAAATCATTACTCTGTAACAAACTATGATCTAGCAAGGTTGGAATACCATATTCTTTTCTTTAACCAGCAAATTACCAAATTATTATGGTTTCTAAGAGCAACATGCACGGATCCACAAAACCTATAGGCAGTGTGAATCTGTCTATATTAGACACAGTGTAAAGAGGATTAGGGTAATGGTGCCAGGCTGAGACACTATTTCCAAACTTTGGATCAAGTGTCTGTTTAAAAATACTTCTATTTGGAAAAAAAAATGCCTTTCTGCTAAATTTTAAATGAATTATACCTAACGTAAATGGTAAGTGCCTGGGAAGAAGGTCAATTTGCAGTTATTTGCTGCAATTTTAATTCTAGACATTTAAATCATTAGGAAAAACTAGAACATTAATATTTCATATTTTGTTAAAACCATATTCAAGCTAGAGTTTAAGTATACTAATAGCCAAAATGTTTATGATAATAAAACAGATCTGAGTTAAACAAACAGAAACACAAAATAATATTTAAAATTTGAAAATAATTCAAAATCTGCTCTCTTAGCTTTCCCAGGTAGGTTACCTGTATTTCAAAGTACTTTCACTCTGTTGGTAAGGAAAAGGATATACAGTTGCTTTTGTAATAGCCATTCATACATATAATTTGATCATTTAGTATCAATGATCATTTAGTATGTTACACTTGCCTGTTATATAATTTTCACATTATTAGTTAAATAAATACATAATACAAGCTTTTTCTGTATGATGACATGAACAGTTAGAATTATTTTCTATAATAAAAAGATTAATTAAAGGCTTATTTATAATATAAATACATTGAGTAGTTGACTGTTCTTTCTCTTGTTAGTTCTTTGAGTCACAGTATTTTAAAATATGATATTTTAAATACAGTTTTAAAATACATATTTATTTGACAAATCTATATTGAACAAGTCATTAAAACAGAGCTCCTTCTGGACCTCTATTAAGACAGGGCTGATCACAAATAACATGATCACAAATAGTTATAAGACATATTTGACAAGTTTCATTACACAGTTATAGACAAAGTATTAGATGAAGGAAAATCTGATGTGATTAGAAATATTTCAGTGTATTTCATGGTGTAAGTAACATTCCAGCTTACTTCATGGTATAACTGGCATTTCAGACAGGACTTAAAGTGTGAGAAGGGATTTAATGAGGAGAAAAGAAGAAAATAACAGAAGGACCAGCACAAGTCAAAACAGAGAGGCATGATGGGTTCCAGGAAGGCTAAGCAGTCTGTCTGGGATGCCTAGAGCATAGAAGGCATATCAGATAAAGGCAAGAATGTGCAAAGCACTGAGAGCGGTAATGAGCTTTCATGTTGTTCACTGGAGAGGAATTACATGGTTGCATCTGTATTGTACATATCTGATCGGACATACTATATATAACATATTGTGGAGAGTTAGTTGGTAGAAGAAGAGATTGAATATATAGAAATTTGGGAAGAGTTAATAAAAGCTTAGCTATATGAGTATCTCTTGCAGTCCTGGCAGTGGATGAACTCACTTGGGAAAAGAATAAAAAGAACACAGAAACACTTGGGGAACAATATTTTAGAAATTCTTCAAGGAAGAGGAATTAGGGAAGTAGAAATGGGAAGAAAGTTTAGAGATAACATTGGGAACTTAAGGGAAATATCAGTGGTACTTCATTAATACTATAACCTAAATAAAATTATAATATGGTTATTGTGAATTATATCAAAAGGGATAACTTTGTGCCAATTGCTAGATTTTTATGCAGATTTCATTAGTCTACTACTAACTTATTACCAATGAATTTGTGTTCCTTCAAACAGAAATGTGGTAAATGTAATGATGGGAAAAGGCTTTTCTATTTCATTTGATGATAAGAAAAATCATGAATGTTAGAATATATATTCTAATATACATATTAGAATGTAAGGCATATATGTGCCATTCTCATTAGTATAGAAGTCATATATGTATGCTGTATTCTAATATGCATACTTTTTTGCATTATGTACTTGCATGTATCAACTAATTGCAATTTCATGTTTTGAACAATAGTAACATACGTCTAAATACACAGAAAGCCTTACATAGGCAACATTTTTCTGTATGGAAAACAATGAATAAGTCCCTTAAAATGTGTAGACAAATATTGTAGTTAAATTTTTTAGTAGAGGAAAGCTGATATCCTGTTTGGTTGGCCTTAACTAACTACCAAATTTTTAAGTAGTGAAGTTTTTGTTCTTTGTTCTTCTTTCACGATTTTATGGTCCCTCTTCCTTCAGTACTCACCAACATGTAGTGTTCTCATGTGACTTCTATTCTTTCTCTTACCAAAGCATGCTTCCTTCCATCTAATGATCAGTTGGAAAGCTTAGGACCACTGTGATCAAAAAGATTGAAAAAATAACTTTATAAAGTAATAGCATGAAACTAGTTTTGAGTCATACAGTCCTAAAGTTAAATTCTAGCTCCATACTGAAATGATTGCATGAATGTTGGCAAGTTACTTATCTGACCTATAACTTTTTCATCTGTTAATCAGATAATTAGATATAATTTATAGGGCTGAGTTTAAGGATGTAATTCACAGGAAAAGCCCAGCACAATGCACAGGAAAAGCCCAGCACAATGCCTGGCAGTTTGCATTTACTAAACATGTGTTATGCTTACTCTTTCTCCCCTTCTTACAGAGGTTTGTGCATTTCAATAGAGCATAGCCCCTCAACACTAGGGAATGCATCTCTGCTCCAGAAACATCAGGCGCTACTGAGAGGCAGGTTAGACGGGTGTTTAGGAATTGGAAGCCTTTCTACCATCTCTGAAGTGGCACACCTGCTCTGCTTGCTTGGGAGGCCAGCATGGTCTGTCTAGTTGCCAACTCAATGAAAGGCTTTAAAAGCTTGCCAAAACATTTTTTCCTAGGCAATTTCCCTTAGGCTTCTAATTGCAAGTGAATTTTAAAATATGTGACCTATGATATTGACTATTTCTGAAAAAAAATCTTTATAGTTGGGTACCAGAGGCAGCAGTCCTGTGATTCTAAATCCCTTACTGAGCAGAGAATTCTCATCTATCTGAATTGTATTTCTTTGTAAACTACCTTTAATGGTTTGGTTTGGGCAGCCTAATCTCCCTCTGGAGATAAGAAAGAAATTCTATGAATACAGCAAGTATTTGAAGACAGGAAGGGAGAAAAGGAGAAATATTTAATTAAGCAGAGAGCTTTACCTAGTTTTCCCTTACTGTTATTTATAAGCAATACATTGGCTCTAGATTTATACCTATGCAGTTCCACAATCTTTATTCTGGCTCAAGCTTCTCTTTTTAATCTCATACTATTCCAAGACAACTTGTTGGAGGTAACTGTGCCCTACCTCTCTCTTTTCTGCATCTTTATCCTTCAGCTGGGATACACCCCCACCACTCCTTGTCCTCTTCATAAAATTGTTTTGATTCTTCTAGGATTAGCCTGTGTGCTGCTGCCTCTGCCTGTTTATGCATTCATGAGTTCGAATAAAAACACAGGCAGATAAACAAAACCAAACCATTACTGAGTGCCATATGCCAGATTCTAGACATAGAATAATAAAAAAAAATGCGGTTCTTTTCCTAAAAAAATTCATAGTCTGATGGGAACACCTGCATGCATATCAACAAATTTAAAGCAATGAGAGACAAGTGAAAGTAGAGTCACATTCCACAGCCACCCAGCATTGTTCAACGGTATCATGGAGGCTTCATAAGATTAGTGATGTTTGAATGGAGTCTTGAAAGATAAGAAGGAATATACTAGGTAGAGAGTGGAAGGGATTGGGGCAGAAGAAGCAGAGGTATGGAAGACCATATTGAGTCTAGGGAATCATCAGGTCTTTCAGAGCCCATATCTCTTAAAAAATCACATTGGCAATCCTGATTCAAAGTGATCTCCACAGGAAACTTTTGTGGGGTTTTCCCCCTTTTATATCAACTGTAAGTCTTCATTTTTATAGATAAGATATAGATATTTTTCTAGGTTAAATATTTGTGTTCTATTTTAAATTGCTTGGTGACTGATAAGTTGCTTGAGGGTAAGGACTAGGTCTCTTCTACTTTTTTATTCTTTAACACACCCATAACTGAGTTTTGTAATTATTTTTATTTATTGTTTACTCTGTACCAAGGACTCTTAAGAAATGTGGTTTTATATTTCTTTAACTCCAACTAAAACTCCATTAGGTTAGGTACTATTATTACCCTCAATCACAGTTAAATAAGGCAATGCTTAGTGAGATCAAATGACCTTTCTAGGAGGCAAATTGAATTAAAAGATCTGATATCAGAGCCATAACTTAACAAATACTTTATTTAACCTTCGCAGGTAAGTCATTCTACATGTTCCTACTAAACTCTAAATGGACAAAGCAATTCTGAAATTAAAAATAATAGTTCAATTAAATAACTCTACGTGAAGACAGTGTATCAGTATATGGAAATATTCAATGTAAATTGTATATTAGAAAAAAAATTGTGTATGTAAATTGTATATCAGAACAAAAGTTCTGGAAAGCCTTTATATAATTGAAACAGTAAAAATCTCAAGGATGATTTTCACAACCTTGTATTGCTGTATCTAGTACATATTTTTAGGATCCAGGTGTTCATACTCTGAAGGTGCCATCTGGCATGGTCATTTCTAGAAAACAGGGCTGCTGTAGCTAACTCTACCTGGACAATCTCAGAGGAAGTAGGTTGTGATGGGGGAAGGTTGGAAAGGTAGTTGCGAGGGTCAGTGGATATAAAAAAGTTTGCCCATCTGTTGTAAATTTTTTTAAGTCTCCAAATTCCTTTGTTGCCAGTGTCCTGGTTATAGTGGAAGGGCCTCAAGTACGCATGATTCTTGTAATCTGGGCTTCTGGCTTCCATAAATGCCAGAGAATTTGCAACAGTAATGTGGTATACTGAGCATCTGCCTTTTAATGCAGCTTCCTCTTTCCATTCTAGGATCATCAACTCAGTTAATTAGAGGAGTGGCAGGGGTTACAATGCTAGCAAATTCTGCAGTATTATGTTATTTGTAGAGAGTGCCCTGGAAATATAATGAGAAGAGAAAAATCCAAGTATTTCTGTTTCTCATTCAAACCCAGATGGAAAAATATGAGGTGAGACACTTAGAAAATCAGAGTAATTGAACAACATACTCAGACTGGTTTATTGGCATGAATGATGTCCCCTTCACAGTAGTTATCATAGGAGCCAAACAATACAATAATGTCACCATTGCTCATGCTGTTTGGGCTCTTGTGTTGGTGTTATCTTTGGATTCTGTGGGCTGTACTATGAATAATTCTCAACAGTAGCAAATCTTCAAACAGAAAGAGTCTGTTCTGTTTTTGCTATTAGCAGAAGTTAGAATGTGCCAAATTTGGTGAATAAAGTGGGTGATCAAAGTGGGAAGTATGATTTTTTTTGCCAAAAACAAAGTAGATTGCAAAATAATGAAACATTTTTGTCTTAATGTGGCTTAAAACAAGCTCTGTTTATTCCAAAAATTTTTCTAAAATTATTTTGAAATACTGCAGAATGTCTGTAGCATGTATTTTCCAATTATTTAATTAAATTAAATCCACAGATTCTCATAAATATATATAAATTTCAGTTTTCTTTGTAAATGTATAGTTACACCTATTATTTTACATTTTTGTTGTTGAACAGCATTACAAATATTTTAAATCTTCTCATTTAAACAATCTTAAACTAACCAAAACAAACCTATTTCAAACTAAGTTGAAATATTTTCAGAAGTTAAAAAGGATATTTTTTGAGACCTAAGAAGTTTTAAATCAAAACAAGAAAAGATTCAGAAACCAAACACATTGTACTCATTTAGGATAAAATAATTTGAGGTAATTATGAAGTGAGGAGTCAGATTCGTATTTTCTGAATTTAATTGTGTCATTGTATATATTATTTTTTACGTCGTATCACAGCCCTGTGTAGTAGATATTATTTTAACATTTGGTCGATTATCCAAGTTTACAGTCAATATTCAAAGTTTTGTCTGACTCCACAGCTTTTATCCAGCTCTAATACAAGACTTCATATATTCCCTTCTTCAGAAGAGAGAGGAGAAAAAAAACTTTGAGTGACAATTATTTTTAATTTTTACACTGTTAAGTGAATATACCTGAGAGGGCATTGCTTTCAAAATCTTACTACTCAGAGTATGGCCAGCAGACAACACTCTGTGTGGCAGCATCAGTGTCTCCTGGTAGCTGACTAGTGAAGTAGAGTATTAGATGCCACACCAGATGTACCAAATCAGAAGCTATATTTTAACAAGTCCCCCCATGTGAATTGCTTTAGAGCAGTGATCTTAAGCATATCTTTGGAAGTCTTTTAAACAATATTCTAGTGTCTTCTGCATTTTTTACAGGCTCTCAAACAGGACAAAATTTTTCAGCTATGAGGTGTGTCTAAAAGTATGAACTCATTTTGACTTCAGAACAATAAGAACTCTTGAAGGTCACCTTTAGCGTTTTAGTTAAATAACATGAAACTTACTATTAAGGAGGACATGTTTGATAAGAGAAAAAAACCACTACTGCCTAAGTAGTCATACACTCTTCAAAATTGATACACAATGACTGAAAGGATTATTAAACTATGGTCAATTACTGATGATTTATAACACACAATTTACGGTGATTCATTTTTTTTCTGGATACCTATCTTTGAATATGCTATTTTTAAAAATTATTTTGTCATTTAGACTTCTATTTTATACTGAATTGAAATAACATACTATGTTCCTAAAATATCATATGGAAAAGGGTTTAGCTTAGTGTTCATTGGTTGTGATATTTTTTAACAAAATTTTCAAAATAACACATTTTTAAAGTGAATTTTATTAATTACTGTGTCTAGAATTAAGTTTACTTTTTTTTTTTTTTTTTTCTGACAGAATCTCCCTTTATCACCCAGGCTGGAGTGCAGTGGCATGATCTCATCTCACTGCAGCCTCCACCTCCTGGGTTGAAGCAATTCTTGTGTCTCAACTCCCCAGGTAGCTAGGATTACAGGCACCCGCCACTATGCCCAGCTAAGTTTTGTATTTTTAGTAGAGATGGGGATTTCACCATGTTGCCCAGGCTGGTCTCGAACTCCTAGCCTCAAGTTATCCACCCACCTCTGCCTCCCAAAGTGCAGTATAATGTGTCTAAATATCAAATTATAAAAAAGTAAAAAGATTATCATCAAACTACATTTCTACACTCATGGTAAGATTTTTCATAATTTTTCTTATGAACATGCTTAAGCATTTTAAACACTGCTTGTAGCCTCTGCAAAAGTTAGCATGCTAAATGTATGTTTAAAAGAACTAAGAAAGGAAGGGAGGAAGAAATAAACAGGTTTCTGTTATGCAAAGTTGAGTGAGTTCAAGATGTTTATGTTCATCACCAGAACACGTGTAAAAATAGCTGTAATTCATTCATAAAGTCAATTCTTACCTCTGTTAACTTTCTTAAAGCATAGTTGTTTTGATATAGATTATTTCCCTTCAAATTTATTTATGTGGAATAATTATATCCAATACAGAATAGTATTATTCAATAACAAAAAATGAATGTTGCAATAAGTCATTAAGGGTAGAGATTATTATTAGCTAAAATCAAAAGATTTTTTTTTCATTGAGGAGAGGTCTAGTATAGACTTTAAAGGGTGAATCACTGTTGGCTATGTCTCTGTGGTTAAAGAGACTTACTGATGATACCACCTGTGTTCAGCAGAAGTAGAGAGTAGTTTTTTGTGGTAGTAACAGAGGGAAGTGCAGAGCTCCAAAAACAAAGGGAAAATATTTACTTATTTCGTCTGGATTTCTGCCATAGGCTATGATTACTTACCTGTCAAGATTTTCTATCCTGTCCTAAATATGCATCAACTCTCTGAGTGAGACTCCCCCTGTAATCCCGGTTCAAAGTACTGATACACAGAATATATTTTAAAACTGATACATTCAAGTCTGTATCTAAACTGGCTGTTGACCCACTGCCCTGTTTCCTACTACATTCCTTCATCAATTTTTAAGAGTAGTGGTTTCCCAGCAAAAAATAAGCAGCATAAATAATGTGGAGAGAATGGAAATCTACTACATTGTTGGTGGGAAAGTAAATTAGTATGGCAATTATGGAAAATGGAGGTTCCTCAAAAAACTGAAAACTGAACTACCATATAATCCAGCAAATCCATCTCTTGGAATTCCATACCAAATCAGTATGTTGAAGGAATATCTTCACTCCCATGTTCATTATAGCATTATTCATAATGGCCAAGATATGAAATCAACCTAAGTGTCTGTCAGCAGGTGAAAGGATAAAGAAAATATGGTACATATACATAGTGAAATATCATGTAGCTTTAGAAATGGGTGAAATTATTTTATTTGGGATGGCATGGATGAATCTAGAGAACATTATGCTAAGTGAAATAAGTCAGGCACTGAGAGACAAATACCATATGATCTCATTTATGTGTGGAATTTAAAAAACATTGATTTCATAAGAAGTAGAGAGTAGAATGAGAGTTAACAGAGACTGGGTGGTGCTGGTGGTGGTGGTGGTGGTGGTGGTGAGGGAATGGAAAGTTCCTGGTCTAAGGTAATATGTCTCAGCTAGACAAGAAGAATAAAATTTGAAATCTATTCCACAACAATAGAATCAATAATATTGTATTATATATTTCAAAGAAACTAAGAAGAAAGTAAATTTCAAACGTCTTACCACAGAAACTGAGTGATGCATGTTAATTTGCTTGATTTAATCATTCCACATTGTATACATACATCAAAAGATCACACTGTATTCCATAATGTAATACAATTATGACTTGTTTATAAAATAATATTAACCAAAAATAAATAATCAGCATATAATAGTGCTTAAGATGGGTGATTCTGGTGTCAGCTGGATCAGAGTTGTAATCACTTCTCTGCCACTCACTGGTATTGCTACCTTTATTCAACCTCATTTACAAGAGCTGTTTCCTCATCTGAGAAATGAGAATAATAAAAAGATGTATTTCAAAGAATTGCTGTAAAGATTAAATATGAAACACTTCATCTATATTAAGTTCATAACAAATGTTGGCTACTGTTATGTATTATTACTATGTACTTCCCTTGTACTTTGCTCTTATAGACACTATGTCTTTTTTATATTACCTTATTTTAAAACTTGCTTATCATATCAATAAAATAGCATAATACTTTCTTTTTTGTAGATGAAGAAACAGGCTCAGAAATGTTAAATTTATATCCCCACTATCAAGAAGCCAGCTAAGTGCCAATCTTGCACATTTAAATCCTCCATGTTTCTTAGTTTCCCATATTACATTCCTTATCTCAACTCCTTGGAATCAGATAGAATGGTGTAAGATCTCTAATTTCCTTAGTTCCCTTGAGAGCTAGAAAACATTTGACAAACTAAAAACAAAATTATCTAAACCTATTTTGTGCTCTTCAAAAATAGGCATAATAGTATACATTTAACAGGGTTGTGAGGAATAAATGAGGTAATCCATACAACCAGCTTAGCAAAGTGCCTGCCATATATTACGTATGGCAGGCACTCAAGGAAAACTGACTACTATTAGTATCTACCACCTTGGGAATTAGTAGTTCCCGAAAATGTTGCTGTTGTCCCAAAATGTTTTGGCATTATTATTATCTAGAATTACATCAAAATTTACTTTATAAGCTACATAAGAAATCAAATCACCACATAGAAAAATCAACTCAGAAATGGATAAAAGACCTAAAGGTAAGACCTGAAACTATAAAACTGTGAGAAGAACATATGAGAGAAAAGCTCCTGGACATTGGCCTTGGCAATGATTTTTGATATTGTAACAAAATCTCAGGCTACGATAACAGCAATGATAAATAAATGGGGGCATATCAAACTAAACATCTCTGCACAGCAAAAGAAACAATAAAATAAGACAGCAGCCTGTGTGCTGGAAAAAAAATATTTGCAAACCACATACCTAAAAATGTCTTTTATAGAAAAGTAAATAAAAGATCATGGGGATTCATTTTGTTGTCATACCTCTATAGTCCTTCAATTTCGAATATTTCTTGAATTCTTTTTGTGGCTCCTACCATTGACATTCTGCCATTAATTTTGTAGAATGTCCCTTAATTTGAGTTTGTCTGTTATTTCCTTCCTCATGATTAGATTCAAATTATGCACTGTTGGCACTGTGTGATTACCTATTACTCTTCAGACTTTTATCCATTAGTTTTAACCTCCATGGATGATTTCTACCTGAATTGGTTGATAGTTGGCAAATGGTGATCTTCTAATCCTATAAGCCTTGCTACACATGTTAGTTGAGACTTAATTTATAATGGGAAAGAGAACAATGATAAAATAATGTGCATGTACATCAATAAAATTGCAAAATTTTCAGTGTCAGGAAAAATCAATGGATGGATGTTGAGCATGGTTTGGGGGTGGTCTGATTCTGAGAGTAGTAGGAAAAGTGGTTTGATATTTCAGCTGAGAGTTTTAAGAATCAGAAGGAGCTTGCCATGGAAAGAATGAGAGGAGGAATGAGAGGAAGGGCAAACAAAGGGAAAGAGAATTGCTTTAGGTAAGAAAGATCTACATACAGGGGTGACTAAAACACCAGTCTGGCAGCATATAGTGGGCATTGGGCAGAAAGGGCAAGTTTCCGTTAAAGGGAGATGTGTAGCTGTGATCACTTAGGATACATAAGCTATGGTATTTTCATCTAAGTGAAGTTGGAAGTCATTTAAAGATTTAAGCAGAGAAATGGCATGATAAGATTTTTAAAATGTGTCTCTTTGTAGAGAATAGGCCAGAAGGGGGCAGGTGAAAAATCTCTGTTTGATCTGTGTTAACTACTAGCATCATTACTTCAGCTACTCTGATCTCTCATTGGACTGCACATATATAACTTGTCTTCTTAGACAGTTCTGTAAATTCCAAATGATCTCTTGAAAATGAAAATTGTAGCACCCTGGACCCCACTGACCAGGAGTGCTAGTTGACAGCAAGAGGAGAGGAAGAGTGTAATATAATCACATGTTGTGAGCTCAAAGAGAAAGAAGCGATAGTAGCCTGGAATCAGCAATGAGAAATAAGTAAGACTCAGAAGTGAAATGGGCTAGAACATGAGAAAGTGGGGTCTTGGGTAACTTTAGGCCCAAGTATGGGTGCGGGTCTCAGAGTATGGGTAATACCAGATGCTGAGGGACACATGCCTTTTGGTTGTCATGAAGTAGAGAATGAAGAGATAAGCTGTAATAGTCTCTTTTAAGAGGCTAACCAGCAGTCTAGAGCTGTATTCCTAAATGCTATTCTCTAAGGCTCAGGACCTAGAGTTGTCCTTGAGAAGCATTAAGAGGTAGGGAGTGAAACAGGTGAGGCATTGGAAAGTTTTATGCCTGAGACTTTCCAAATATGATGGGCCTTTATTTTTAATAAATAAAAAGGATTTTTATTGGAGACTCCTTGCGCTGTCTCATGCTGTAATATTGACAATTAATGGCTCAACGACACAATAACAATATATTTAAAGTTTTAATAAATGCACTGTGATGTGAATCATTCACTTTTATTTTATTTATTACTTGCTTACAGCTTAGTTTTATACTCACTTTGGATTTTTTTAAATTCTGTGGTTTATAGGAAACCTAAGCTCATGAAGAGTTTATAATCTAAGTATAATCCTATGAAGGGCATTATGTGAGAGATTATTGTGTTTTGTTGGAGGTTGTATTAGATGACTTCTAAGGTCTCATCCTACTCGGAGTCTATGATTTAATGTTTCTAGCATGACTTTGTATCAAAGAATGAGCCAGAAAATTGAAGGGTGTTTAATATGACCTGAAGGAAAAATCAAGAATTCTAATAAAGTCAAGACACGTATAATGTGAACAATTCCTAGGCTTTTGATCATTCAGTGGAACTGACACTTATGTAGCTACAGATTTATGCTGGTTTTAAAGGCATGTTTCAATTGAATGAGCAAATTGTGAAAAAAAAAAAAAAAAGTATTAGGTAACAGGATTTCAAAAGACCGTGTGAGATCTTAGTCCATCCAATTATTTTACTCTTGCTGATTAAATAAATCTGATATAATCGCCCTAAAAATTTGATCAGATTACTAGCTGGTAAAAACCAGCTTTTGCTCATTGAAATAATGAGCCAGTAATATACTTCACAAAAATATAGCTAATGATAATAAATATATGAAATATATTATTTTTTCCTAGGTGCCAAGTTACATCTTTTGACTCAATGACCTAATAATAGACTTTCTATCATTTTAAAGAAAGAATTTCCCCTCATACATGTCCCCTTCACAGAGATTCCCCTAATGTTAGACTAATGGTCCTAACTTTAATAAAGTGTTAGTCTGAGTCTGTGGAAAAAGACATAGAAAGGTGACTTATCTGAGATCATAACCAATTCAATTGTTAAATATTGTAATCAAGCAAATACAAACCACCTACTCCTTAAATATTTGTAATTTTTCAAACACTTTTAATCAGATGCTCTGGGCCAAAGGACAGATGCTTGTTTACAAGGCTGATTTAGTTACTTTAAATGCTGCTGACTGAACTATGTACCTGTAACATGCTTCAGCTACAGGCCATGTTCAGAAAAATCCTTGCATATCACTACCAACACACTTCAGTATCCAGCTAGCTAATATATTGCAAAAACTAATTTATTCAAAGCATATGGTCTAGCAAATGTTGACTGCATTTTCAGATGATGTTGTACATTTAGGATCTTGGAAAGTTGTAGATTCTTACATAGAACCACATAGAATTGAGGCACTTTGGGGAAAAAGGCCAAAAATCTTATTTCACAAATATGGGAAATATTTTTACTATAAGAGGTAGGAAATAACTAAACAAAATATTTACCAGTTAAAAAACCTCAATCAGAAATAGTAAATTGAAACATTTGTTCATAGGTTCTTTTTAGATATCTAATATGAATATATATTTATGTAGCAAACACTGGGGCTTTAAAAATAAATACAGGCATATCTTGTTTTATTACACTTCACTTTATTGCACTTTACAGTTATTGTGTTTTTTTCAAATTGAAAGTTTGTGGCAACCATATATCGAGCAAGTCTATTGGCATAATTTTACCAACAACATGTGCTCACTTCATGTCTCTGTGTCACACACATTTTGGTAATTTTCTCAATATTTCAAACTTTTTTAATTATCATTATATCTGTTATGGTGATCTGTGATCAGTGATCTGTGATGTTATCATTGTAATTTATTTAGGGAGCCATGAATTTCACCCATGTAAGATGATAAACTTAATAAATGTTGTGAGTATTCTGACTGCTCCACATTCCAGACATTCCCATCTCTCTCCCTCTTCTCAGTTCTCCTTAGTCCTTGAGAGAAAACAATTTTGAAATTAGACCAATTGGCCGGGCACAGTGGCTCAAGCCTGTAATCCCAACACTTTGGGAGGCTGAGGCGGGCGGATCACGAGGTCAGGAGTTCAAGACCAGCCTGGTCAACAGAGCAAAACCCCATCTCTACTAAAAATACAAAAACTAGCCAGGCGTGGTGGTGGGTGCCTGTAGACCCAGCTACTCAGGGAGGCTGAGGCAGAAGAATTGCTTGTGAGACTCCATCTCAACAAAAAGAAAGAAAAGAAAAAGACATTAGACCAATTAATACTGCAATGGCCTCTAAGTGTTCAAGTGAAAGGATGAGTCGCACATCTTTCATTTTCAATCAAAAGCTAAAAGAGAGTAAGCTTAGTGAGGAAGGCATATCAAAGCTGAGATAGTCTGAAATACATTTTGAGTTGATTTTTGTATGTGGTGAAAGATAAGGAGTTATAAAAGTAGACTTCATGAAGGTAGAAAGTAGAGTGATGGTTACCAAAGGGTGGGCCTGGTAGTGAGTTAGCAAAGTTGTAAATGCAAATGAAAAGTTCTAGAAAGTTCTAGAAAACGGAACGTTCTAGAAAGTGCTTCTTTTAAGAACACCTGAATGATAAGAACACAAAACAGCCTTACTGCTGATATGAGGAAAGTTTTAGTGGTCTGGATAGAAAATAAAACCAGCCACAACATTCCCTTACACCACAATTTAATCCAAATAAAAGACCTAAATCTCTTTAATTCTCTGAAGTCTGAGAGAGATAAGGAAGCTGTAGAAGAAAACTTAGAAGCTAGCAGAGGTTGCTTCATGAAGATTAAAATGAAAGCTGTAACCATAACAAAAAGTACAAGGTAAAGCCTCAAGAACTGATGTAGAAGCTGCAGCAGGTTATCCAGAAGACATAGCTAAAATAATTTATGAAGGAGGCTACACTAAACAAGAGACTTTCCATGTAAAGCAAACATCTTCCTATTGGAAGAAGATGCCATGTGGTACTTCCATTGCTAGAGAGAAGTCACTTCCTAGCTTCCAAGCTTTAAGGGACAGGCTGACTCTCATGTTAGGGGCAAAGGTAGCTGGTAACTTTGAGTGGAAGTCAATGCTCATTCACCATTCTGAAAATCCTAGGGGTCTTAAGAATTATGGTAAAATCTACTCTGTCTGTGCTCTATAAATGGAACAACAAAACCTGGAAGACAATGTATGTGTTTCTAGCCAGGTTTACTGAATTTTTAAGCTCACTGTTGAAACCTACTGCTCAGAAGAAAAGATTCCTTTCAACATATCACTGCTCACTGGTAATGGACCTCATGACTTGACGGCTCTGATGGAGATGTACAAGGAGGTTAATATTGTTTTTATGCCTGCTATTACAACATTTATTTTGCAGCCCATAGATGAAGGAGTAATTTTAGTTTCAAGCCTTATTATTTAATAAAAACATTTCATAAGACTATAGCTGTCATAGATAATGATTCTCATAATAGACCTGGGCAAAGAAAGTTGAAAACCTTCTGGAAAGGATTTACCATTCAAGATGCCACTGAGAACATTCATTATTCATGGGAGAAGATCAAAATATCCACATTAACAGGG
The DNA here is from genome assembly GCF_000001405.40 of Homo sapiens. Lineage (NCBI taxonomy): Eukaryota > Metazoa > Chordata > Mammalia > Primates > Hominidae > Homo > Homo sapiens. The sequence goes on from NC_000004.12 coordinate 92,371,933, forward strand.
CTTTGGAAGAGGTTGATTCTAACCCTTATGGAAGCATTTGAAGAGGTCAAGACTTCAGTGGAGGCACTCACTACAAATGTGGTAGAATCAGCAAAAGAACTATAATTGAAAGTGGAGCCTAAAGATGTGAATGAATCGCTGCAATCTCATGACAAAACTTGAATAGATGAGGAGTTACGCATAGATAAGCAAAAAAATGTCGTTTCTTTGGATGAGATCTACTCCTGGTGAAGATGCTGTGAGCATTGTTGAAATGATAATAGATTTAGAGTATTTAATTAACCTAATTGATAAAGCTAGCATGGTTTAGAGCATGGACTCCAATTTTAAAAGAAGTTCTACCGTGAGTGAAATGCTATCAAATAGTATTGCATGCTACAGAGAAAACTTTTGTGAAAGGAAGTATCAATTGATGTGGCAAACTTCATTGTTATCTTGTTTTAAGAAATTGCCACAACCACTCCAACCTTCAGCAACGGGCACCCTGATCAATCAGCAACCATTAACATTAAGGCCTGACCCTGCCCCAACAAAAGATTCTGACTCACAGAAGGTTCAGATGGTTGTCTGAAATTTTAAAATTAAGGTATTTAAATTATTGTTTTAGACATAATGCTATTGTTCATGCAATAGAATATAGTTTAGTGTAAACGTGACTCTTGCATGTACTGGAAAACCTAAAACTTTGTGTGACTGACTTTATTGTGATATTTGTTCTGTTGTGGTGGTCTGGAACCAAACCTGCAATTCCTCCAGTTTCTCCAAGGTATGCCTGTTCTGTTGTTTTAAGTCACTTAACAAATACACATACTTTTTTTCCCCCTATTTTTATATGATAGTTACTATGCCCATTTGTACAAGAGAAATTCAGAGGAATTTATGATTTAGAAATTAATTGACTCTGATGCTGTATAAGTTATACTCCAGAAAATTTTAAATTATTAATAAGAACATCTGATTCCGAAAATTATTATTCTTAATGAAAAAATGCCAAAATGCATGACACTGCTCTCCTGCCGATGACTACCAGAAACTCATCTTTATTCAAACAAGTTGGTTTTATTGGCACATTGCAACAAAGGAAACTAACACAAATGAAGAATAGGTGCTTCAGCCAGAGAGTGTTAGAAAGGACGTATTATAGGATACAGGTTCATGCTAGGTAATTTGGGGGCATATTCAAAGCAGTGGTGCTTTGTCTGCATTGGATAATGTCAGGAAGCAGGGGTAATTCTTTGTTTGTGAATCTAAACAATTCCTTTTAAAGCAGAAATTCTGATTGGTAAAGAATCAGCACTCATTGGTGATAGCCAAGATAGGGGAAGTGTGGTCATTTTCGTAGTTTGCACAATATTCTTGTTTTGTCTGTGCTCAAACATTTTTATGTAGTGGTCTGATGTTGTCCAGATCCATCATAGCAAGGAGTGGCTTTGTCTGATGATGGTGTTCTATGAAATTATCTGTGTGCAGTAAGAGAATACCATGGCCCAGCTGTGTCAGCCCAACTTCTAACAATGTTGTAGCCTGGCTGATAGTGCCAGGCCAGCTTCCAGCTGTGAGGGGCTTTTTCTCTTTCTCATGTGTAATGGCAAATACTTCTAACTACAAATGTCACGACAAAATAATTTCATGCCGGATATGAATATTTTCTAGCTCAACATCTTGCTTTCAAAGTTCTTTAATATCAATCCTCATCACTGGATTGTAAACTCCACAAAGGCAGAGACCATGACCTTTTTTCAAGAGCTAAATACATCCTAATTATTAGTACTACTCATACAAATTGAATTATAACTAATATTTATCAAACTTTTACTTATATGTCAGTTATACTTTTGTGGGTTTTACTTTGCTTGTCACCCTAATATGCACAGAAACTCTCTAGGATGAGTACATACTATTAATATCTCCATTTTATAAATGAGAAAATGAAGGAATAGGGAAATTAGGTGACATACAAAGGTCATACAGCTAGTAAGGAGCAAGTACAGGATTCTAACTCAGGAAGTCTGGCTGTAGATTCCCTATTTTTCATCACTGTAATGGGTTTGATACATATGTGTTGAATGCATGTGTAAACCAAAAATAAAATTCAAAGCCCCCCCGCCCTGCCACCCCAACCGTCTAAATGGACCTCCTCCTCAGCAAGGGCTCTTTTACAATTTAATCTGAGAGACTGTTTCTTTCAGGCCATGATGGGAAGTGGGGGTTGAAAATGCCTCATTATGCTTCCCAAGCATTAATATCAACACAGACTTTAAGTCTGATAAGAAACATTTTACAACTTATTCTCTTTAAAGCCTAGTACCTAAAGGCTTTCCCTGCAAAGAAGAACTTGGGTCTCCATAATCCTTTATCTTAACCCAGGCATTCATTTCTATTAATCCCAGGTCTTTAGATAAACTTAACCAACTGTCAACCAGAAAAAATTTTAAATCTACTTGTAAGCTGGAAGCCCCCACTTTGAGTTGTCCTGCCTTTCTGGACCAAGCCAGTGCATTTCTTAAATGGGTTTTATTGAAGTCTCATGTCTCCCTAAAATGTATAAAACCAAGGTGCACCCTGACCACCTTGGGCATATGTTCTCAGGACCTCCTGAGGGCTGTGTCATGGGCCGTGGTCACTATATGTGGCTCAGAATAAATCTCTTCAAATAAGTTTCTTCCAATTGTTTACAGAGTTTGACTCTTTTCATCAACACATTATGAATAGATGAGGAATAATTTGATGATTTTGAAAATTTTGGGTAAAACAGGTAACTTTTGAGATTGGGTATTAACCTGGGATAAGAGTAGCGCAAATCTTAACTTGGAGTTATTCTACAAGCACATTTTTAATAGGAATTCTTGAAGGGGATAGAGTCAAGTGTAGGGAATAGACCTGAATCTGGATCTCCATAAATAAAAGGTTAAATATAAAGTAGAAATAAGGATGAAACGTGGTAGGTTCAGATCTGTGGTTATCAATCTGAATATGTGGATATAATGAAAAGTGTAAACATACCATACCTGAGACAGACTTATGTAAAATGAATAGCCACCTTACAAGAGAATAAACCAGACAGCAAGAGGGGTATATGTGAGTACTGCAATCTTTGACCCTAAAATAGGCAGCCATGACAGTGTAGAGTGCATCCTTAGAGTTTTAAATGTGTATCAGGAAAATGAACCTAAAGCAAGTTTTCCTTTAATATTTTAATCAAATCATGGGACTGTGGACCAGAAAGGATGTTGTTTAAGTATAACTTAAAATTGATATAATTTATAAACTTAAATTTATACCATTTAGTTTTCTATGTTCTGCTCAGAATCTATAAGAAAGACATAGAATCATGTTCATGAAACCATAGAATTTTTGCACAAACGTTTGTACAAATTTGCAGGTGCTAAAAGAAGTGTGCTTAACATCTTTTTAGCCCTTGTAATTTGTTTGTTGCTATTATTCATTGCATCTTGTGACTAGGTATGTCTTGGTGAATTTAGTGTGTAAAGCTTTGAAAATTATAGTATCCTCTACAAAAACAAGGTTCTACTATTATCAGTATTCATTTTGTTAAGAGAAAAAGAGAGGTTACTGATTAATGCCATTCCATGCGTGGGATCTCTTTTCATTTATTCTCATCTTAACTATCTGCATAAATAAGAAAGTGAGAGAAAAGGAGAAACTGTTTAATGCCAGTAAAGGTATCATGTTGAACACATTTTTTTTGTGCTCCTCATTTAGCTACATTGGAGATGTTGGAAATATCACAAATTAATAAATATTCAATCTTCTCTTCTTCCTGTAATCCCATTATTCACACACTGCATCAACTGTGAAATAGGCTGGACTTTGTTGGAAATCCAAAAGCATGAGGAAATGTGCTCAAAGTTGCATATTAGGTTAGAAAAAATGCCTGATGAATATGCAATTTAATAGGTAATTGTATTATGTAAGAACATACAAAACTAATATAAGCACATTATTGTATTGAGGTTGTATTTTATTAAATTGCTTACTGATATTTTTTTGAAACAAGAAAGTAATGTAAATTGAGTAATTCTGAATAAGCGATTCAGGGCACATATATCATGTTTCTCCATAAAAGAATTTTTTTCATTTAATTAATTGTAAGGAAGTATTATTGGATTAGCCCTTCATGAAAATACTAGGGCAAAATGGGGAAAAAATTATATATATATAAATTTCAACACAGTGATACCCTGTATCTACTAAAAAATACAAAAAATTAGCCCGGTGTGTTGTCGGGCACCTGAAGTCCCAGCTACTCAGAAGTCTGAGGCAGGAGAATGGCATGAACCCGGGAGGCAGAGGTTGCAGTGAGCCAAAATTGCACCACTGCACTCCAGCCTGGGCAACACAGCAAGACTCCATCTCAAAAAAATAATATATTAAAACTCGAAAATGACCTCCTTCATATCTCACATCCAGGTCATGCTGATCCAAGAGATGGGTTCCTATGGTCTTAGGCAGCTCTGTCCCATGGCTTTGCAGGGTATAGCCTCCATCCTGGCTGATTTCATGGGCTGGCATTGAGTGTCTGTGGCTTTTCCAGGCATATGGTGCAAGCTGTCAGTGGATCTACCATTCTGGGGTCTGGAGGAAAGTGGCCCTCTTCTCACAGCTCCACTAGGCGGTGCCCCATTAGGGACTCTGTGTGGGGGCTCTGACCCCACATTTCCCTTCCACACTGCCCTAGCAGAGGTTCTTCATGAGAGGCCTGCCCCTGCAACAAACTTCTGCCTGGATATCCAGGCATTTCCATACATCCTCTGAAATCTAGGCAGAGGTTCCCAAACCCCAAATCTTGACTTTTGTGCGCTTGCAGACTCAACACCACATGGAAGCTGCCAACGCTTGGGGCTTGCACCCTCTGAAGCCATGACCTGAGGTCTGAATTAGCCCCTTTCAGCCAAGGATGGAGTAGCTGGGACACAGGGCACCAAGTCCCTAGGCTACACACAGCATGGGGACCCTGGGTCTGGTCCACGAAACCACTTTTTCCTCCTAGGCCTCTGGGCCTGTGATGGGAGGGGCTGCTGTGACAACCTCTGAAAAGCCCTGGAAATATTTTTGCCATTGTCTTGGGGATTAACATTTGGCTGTTTGTTACTTATGCAAATTTCTGCAGCCTGCTTGAATTTCTCCTCAGAAAATGGAATTTTATTTTCTATCACATTGTCAGCCTGCAGGTTTTCTGAACTTTTATGCTCTGCTTCTCTTATAAAACTAAATGTCCTTAACAGCACCCAAGTCACCTCTTGAATGCTTTGCTGCTTAGAAATTTCTTCTGCCAGATACCCAAAATCATCTCTCTCAAGTTCAAAGTTCCACACATCTCTGGGATAGGGACAAAATGCTGCCAGTCTCTTTGCCAAAACATAACAAGAGTCACCTTTCCTCCAGTTCCCAACAAGTTCCTCACTTCCATCTGAGACCACCTCAGCCCAGACTTTATTGTCCCCATTGCTATCAGCATTTTGGGCAAAGCCATTCAACAAGTCTCTAGGAAGCTCCAAACTTGCCCACATTTTCCTGTCTTCTTCTGAGCCCTCCAAACTGTTCCAACCTCTGCCTGTTACCCAGTTCCAAACTTGCTTCCACATTGTCATGTATCTTTTCAGCAGCATCCCACTCTACTCATAGCAATTTACTGTTATTAGTCTGTTTTCACGCTGCTGATAAAGACATACCTGAGAATGTGAAGAAAAAGAAGTTTAATGGACTCATAGTTCCACATGGTTGGGGAGGCCTCACAATTATGGTGGAAGGCAAGGAGGAGCAAGTCGTGTCATGTCAAGTGGATGGTGGCAGGCACAGAGAGAGCTTGTGCAAGGAAACCCCACCTTATAAAACCATCGGATCTCATGAGACTACTTTACTATTACAAGAATAGCATGGGAAAGACCTTTCCCTGTGATTCAGTTGCTTCCCACCAGGTCCCTTCCACAACATGTGTGACTTCAAGATGAGATTTGAGTGGGGACACAGCCAAACTATATCACTACCCAATATTTCAACGTATGTGGTTAGTAGAATTTTGTAATACTGTTTTGAGCTCATTAGTTTTTTTACTTAGATATCTAAAGTACAGCAAAAATTACTGTCTTTTTGTATCTTAGATCATATAATTTTAGAGCTGAAAGAGGCTGTAGAGATCATTAAAAAAAAAACTTAGATATTAGAAAAATGATGCCTGGAGAGATGTTGTATGACTTTTCCAAGGTAAAGTACTTAATTAAAAAAACTAAAAATTTAAGGGGATTTTAAGTCATCACCCCCAGCCCTGTAGATTAACTTAAATTTTATCAAAAGATTAGACATATTAAACTATTAAGTATTGCTTCAAACCACTCTCAGAGATTTATTTTAAAATTTGTGCACTGTATATGTGGTTGTCATATAAAGGATTGACAACACTTTTTTGTGTATGTAAATGAAAATTGTATTGGTTTAGTGCTGGATTTACAGTTTAAGGATTGTATTTAATGAAAGCCTCTCAATTGGTATGTCCTTGACATAATAAAAATTTTCATAATTTAGGTTTTAATTTTCACATTATGTTGAAAATTCAAATTATTTCCAAATATCCTGTGTTTATATTTACTATATTAATTCAATCAAAAATATACTAGTTGAAATTTGGACTATTCCCTATCTTGAGCACACAACATGCACACACCCCACACACTTTACCCATTAACATGGTGTACACAAAGAATCTTAGATATTTTATTCTTTTCAAAGTTGAGAAATGCTTGTTAATTTTTAATCAAGTTGAGCTATTATTCAACCATTTAAATTTACCATCAACATATTGTGGAATAGGATACCTTATGCCTAATTAACAACATAAGTAAGAATCAAAATATTTCATTTGCTACCTGTTAATGCTGTCTTATGATTTTGCTCATGTTTACTAATCTCAATTATAAAATATATTTTTATGTGCACAAACCAGTATATTTTATTTATTTTGCCTTCATCTACCTTAAATGTTAAAATTTTTAAAATAAACCTTTATATATTTATTTACACATAATTTAATAATTAAGTTTATCAATATTTCTATTTTTGTAAAGGAAATTACTCCAGGACCCATTTATATGACTATTTAGGCTAAAATTGTATTTTCCATTTTTTTAAACAAATATTTGGTACCAGAATAACAAGGTATGCAAAATGACAACTAAATTTATTATTCAAATCAAATATTTAAACATGTACTTGTATGATTATTGGCATAATTATATATAAAATGATTATGTACATAAAGTTTAATTTTTTTTACCTGTTGTCTTCAATTAATTTAGAGTGTTCTCCATTTATCTTGCGTCTTGATGAAGGGTATGGGGGATCCAAGATGATGTCAATAGCTGTTTAGATGTTTTTGTTGCCATGAGTTTGGGCTTTGTGTAATTTCTTGGCAAAATATATGGAGATATGGAGAGTGCATTACTCCCTGATAGACACTTATAATGATGGAAAAGAAGCAAAAAAGTTTATGTACTTTCAGCTGTTGTACATAGATGCTAAATATTACTATTTATTACAATGATAATTTTTAAAACAAATATCTTCTGTATACAAATTACATTCCAATAATTAAACCTCATGTTAATGGAGATATATGGCGGGGTTGAACAGTATATTTTATAATCTATTATTTTACAAGAAGAAAAACTAGATCAGTTGCAAAATATATTAAATACAGGCTCTGAAAAATGAAAGACTAAGGATGTTAGGCCCCAAAAAAGATACACTGGAGTTAACAAATCTTTATTAATGCATGAGGCCTCCCATGATGCTGGTTTCTGTTCTTTACCATTGAAAACTGATCATTGCTTCTGGAGAAGGTTGGAAAGATGGCTAGAGCTTATTTTAATAGCCTTACAGATAGCTAATAAAGTTTCATTTATTCAGTGTCTTTTAAATTATATATAGGTATTAAATTGTTTTTTAAGCCATTCCTGTGGTATAGCTGTAGAGGTGCCAGGCTGCACAAATAATAATCCTATACTTGTTGCTTTGGAGAAGAAAATATCGTTTGTTGTAAGCAAAATTGTCCAACAGGTTAAAAATGGTCTAATTATGTGAAAAAACTATTTTAGTTTAAAGTATACATTCGAAAGTGCTGATCTTTAATGTGGTATAATGGGCCCTTGATTTGTTAGCATCAGCAAAGCAAGGCTAACAATGAAGTTTGGGAAGCATTTTTACTTTTTTTTTGTATCACTTAGCCCTTTGTTTTAGATATGGTAGGTCCTTGTGTGTGTTGATTTTTTTGTGTAATGATATAATTGAAAGATTATATCTTTTAGGAGAAAGAGTACATCTATTTGAAACATACCATTTCTATTCCAAATGAAAAAAAAATCCTTTGCTTCCTTAGCATATGTATTTTTGAAGACATTGCTTACTAGCTCTTCAAAAAAAAGTTATTTAGCTTTGTTGATCCTCAGGTTGTTATCTGTGAAATTTGTAACACAGATCTTTTGTGAAGATTAAATGATATCAGGTATTTATAATACAAAATTTCTTTCCTCCCCCAACTCCACCTCTACATATTTGATTTGGCTCCATTTTTGTCTCATTTTTCTATGTATTTTAAGTATATTTTGTTGACTTATGTTGCATATATATTCGTTAGCTGCCTCAAGTATTTCTGGACAAAAATATGTATACTTATAGATTAATACAAATTAGTTCTTCGTTGAAATCCTTTTGTTTTTGTTTTGTTTTTCAGATTACCAAATTTGTTAAATGGATTAAAGTGTGGAGTCATATGATGTAGTTGCTTCTGGCTAACAGCGTTAGTTCACTCTTCAGGGTACAATTTTGCTTCTCTGAAAATTAGTTGGTCTTAGTTGTAAATTTGACTAATTAAATTATATAACCAAAATGGTACATATAATACTATATCTCCTCTGTAAGTGTAAATTTGACTAATTAAATTACACAACCAAAATGGTACCTATAATACTATATCTCCTCTGTGAGCCCTCAATAATTACTAAATAATATACTTTGCAATATCAGAAATATAAAGTTTTTAAGCAAAAAGCCCCTTTTCCCTCCAATATTATTTTTTCCAATATTAACCTGTTAGTGTCTCTAATGTGTCATGCAATCTTAAGCCTCTTTGAAATATAGTAGATACCATACATTATTTTAAGTGTTTTATATGTGTAATGTACTTTAATCATCATAATAACCTAATAAAATTGGTAACTATTATTATCCCCATGTGTAGATGAGAAAACAGAGGTACGAATCATTAATAAACTCAGCTAAGGTTGCCAGGTGACGGAGTGACTGAACCAAAATCTGAAGTTGGCAGTCTGGCCCCAAAATCAACATTCTTAATTGAAATTCTATATCACCTCGATCACTCGATCACTTCTAATATGTACTTTACATGTGGGGAAAAGTAGGCTGCTCGTGTGCTTTGGGTGACTTTCCTAGTACTTGTAATTTCACTGAATGATGACAAATTTCTTCCTGATCCCTTGAAGAGAGACTAGCAACTGAGTGATTATTTGTATGTAAACTCTATGGTAATATAAAAGAAGTGTTTTTTTTTTTCCAGCAATGCCAATAATCTAAAAGACGCTGGGACCCTACTAATGTCACTTGCTCAATTCCATCTCCACATCAGTTAATTCATTTGGGCAGCACACTTTTTCACCACAATGTAAAAGTTTCTCTTTTCTAATGCATTCTTTGCAAAGAATTAACCATCACCATATGGAAGTACTGTGGAGTTTAATTTCAATGTGTTAAATTTTGATGGTGGAACATCAGTGAATTGACTTTGAAATCTGAACTGAACTCTGGTTCATTTGTCAGCTGGTGTAAAGATTCATGTTCTCTTGTGCTTGTGGTCTTACATCTACCCTGTGGTTTTAATTTTGGCAATGATTAGTTAGCATCCCACTTCATTTCATACTTAGTCATCCACAGGAAATGATAAAGACAATGAATCTCAGATGTCTACAGACTAGATATTGATTTATTACTATTTTTTCAAGTTTTTCATGATTTTTCCCCCTAAGTGGAAATAGGATTTTTGAAAATGGATTTCTGGCTCTGTGTAATTGCTGTATGTCAGTGAGCATTCCATTAGTATTAAAAACATAGTAGATATGTCCACATGTTAGAGTTTTGAATATATTTATAGTTACACCGAGATTGATATTAAAGATTTGAAATTTAGTAAAATTTTTATTACATTAAATGACTGTATTGAGCCCATAAAATTATGTGTTCTCTTAAGGTGGTAGAAAATACTATATTTTTAAAGAGGAGCTGAAAAAAAATATAGATATAGCTATATCCATGGCAACAGCATAGCACCCATACAAAAGAAAGCCAGGGTGTGCTTGTTGGATAGCTGCATAGCAACAGCAGAGTTCAGTATGGGAGGAGGAAAGAAAGTTTAGAACCAAGACTATAGTGTGCTTTCTGAATGTATTGCATTGTGCTGTCAGTAAGCCTGATTAATGTCTTTTTGTTCTTGTTCGATATTTTACATATTATATTTGTGATTTTAATTTCAAAGAATAGTTGAAAAATGTAGGTGTATGGTGTAAAATCAGTAAATTTGCACTTAAGTTTTGCATTAATATGAGTATGTGCTATTGGAAATTAAAGCACATTGTTAAGAAATAAAGTTAATAGAATGAGTTATTGATTATATTTGTGAGGAATTGGAATATGTATTCTATAATAAATTCACTTTCAAATTTAGAAAGGGATGACCCTTATTTTATAATTATTTTTGTTTTCAATATGAGTATGCTAGTGTTCAAATATATATTTTATGTGTAGAAAATAGCCATGCTACATACTTCCAGAAAGCCATTCCATTCAGTTAGTCATATGTTTTGGACACTGTACGAGATAGATCTAAGCATTTTGTATTAGTCCATTCTCACATTGCTATAAAGAAATACCTGAGACTGGGTAATTTATAAAGAAAAGAGGTTTAGTTGGGTCATGGTTCTGCAGGCTGTACAGGAAGCATGATGCTGACATCTGCTTGGCTCCTGGGAAGGTCTCAGGAAACTTTTACTCATGGAGGAAGATGGAGGAGTAGCCAGCACTTCACATGGCCAGAACATGAGGAAGAGAGAGAGGAGTTATCACAAGATCTGATTGTTTTAAAACAATCACTATCTCACTCACTATCCCAAGAACAGCACCAAGGAGACTGTGCTAAATCATTCATGAGGATTCCGCTCCCATGATCCAATCACCTCCTACCAGGCCCCACCTCCAACACTGAGTATTACAATTTGACATGAGATTTGGTGGGGACACAGCTCCAAAACATACCACATTGTTAGGGAGGACTACAGCAAAACTTGTCTAATAAACTAAATAGACATTTCTGAAAATTAAAATTCTTAGTTTCTAAGTATTGTAATTCCTTTGTAAATCTAAACCAAATCATTAAGAATCACATATAAGCTCCAAAGGCCTAAGACAGAAGTTGTTAATACATACCTTTCAGCCCAATTCTACCTTACTCCTAACGTAAGAAACATGCCAGTACAGCCTTTTGTCTTCCATGTAAAAGGCTTTGGAATTTATCCCAGGGGTAAGGTATAGAAAGCCCCCTTAAAAGATAATGGGACTAGTTTTCCCAGTATTCTAAATAACATAGTATGTTTTCGGATCCTTTGTGTTGTATTCATCTATGTATTTGCTCTGTGTATGTTTTCTTTCTCTTTTTCTTCCTCTTCCTCTTCTTTCTTTTCCTCTACCTCTCCCTCCTCCAATGATGCTGGATTTACTACCTGAATTATTTCAAGCTTCACTATAAAGTGTGTATATAATATTCAATAGTCAACAGTCAGTTGGCTCCCAAATAATATTTCTGCTTAAAATCAAAATTAGCTTCATGATATTTAATTATACTTTAAGTCTATACATTGTTCCTTGTTGCTGTTAAAGTTTATGACATTTCTTATCCACTCTTTGCTCCCAAAGATAGTAAATTCTTGTCTCTTAATGGTATTTAAGATGGTAAAGTAGCCTTTAAGATATTTAATTGTCAAAACCTTTCTTAATGGAAATATCTTAAGCATTAAAAAACAGGAGAATAAGGATATATTCTAGTTTGGCTGACAATGTGTGAGTGAAGTAGCTATGAAGAATAAAGAAATATTCTAATTTGGCAGTGTGTGTATATGTGTGTGTATGTGTGGGTGTGTGTGTGTCTGCGTGTGAAGTGGCTGTCAAGTTGCAACCAGAATGTAACTCTACTAGGACTTTTGGTGATTTTTGTTTCTTTTGTTTACTGCTGTATTTCCAATGCATGGAAGGGCACTTCAAACAAAGTAGTCGAAGTTTTCCCTCAGCCACAAGAGCCCTTTATGTGGGGCTTTATGTGGAGTACAGTTTTAAAAGTATGTGTCTACATTCTGTGAATCAGCCATTGTGGATAATGTCATATATACTAACAGAGGAAAGAAGTGTACCTGTGTGTGTGTAGGAATATATATATATATATATATATATATATATATATATATATATATATTATTTATATATAATAAAAATATATATTATATATAATATTATATAATATAATATATAATATAATATATAATATATATTATATATAATATAATATATAAAATATATTATATTATATATAACATAATATATAATATATGTTATATATTATATATAATATATATTATATATAATATATAGACATATTATATACATATATTATATATATATAATATATATGAGACATATGGATGTTTGGGAGCCATATAAATATTTTACTTGCTGAATTAGTAAAACTTCTGATAAATAAGAAGATACTTCAAGATAATAAGTGTTAGGTAGTTTTCATTCTCTGAAACAATGGAAAAACGCTTGAATTTTCAGACGGTATTGTCCGTAAAGATTCACGACGCATTCTAGGTGTTCCAGGATGGCCTTGGAAGCAGTCAAAAGGAGAATGTTTATGGAGCTGAATCAGAAAGGATAGATTGCATCACCAATATACACAATGGGCTTGTCACATTTACTGATGGTTCCCTATGTACTGGGAAATGTCAGGTGATTCACATATAATTTGTCTTTTAAAAATATAAAAATATATCTGCTGGAAAAATTGCACCAGGTCAAATGTATTTTAGAGTATCTAGTGTTATAAAATAGATGTGTTAAGTTTCCTGCTATAAATGTTGATATTTATAATTTCATTTATTTTCATAAACAGTTAGGATGCACCTATTCAAGCTATCCTTTATTATAATATAATTTAGATATAATTCAAAATTTAGCTATAATTCCAAATTTTGCTCATTTCTAGACATGACTATATGACTGAATTGATGCTGAGGAGTTTCTACAAATTGTCAGTGTTTTGTTGTTAGTATTATTTGCTATTTTCAAAAACATTTTAAAATTTAGTCAATTTTGCATTAGATATTTTAATTGTGGCAACACAGAGTATCAACTGGAATTTATTAAAAAAATTATTAAAAATTGACTCATGCTTATATAGTCTAAGGTAAGGAAATCAAACCATTTTTTTTTTCCTACAACCATGTTAACGCTATGAAAACTCTCATGTCAAGATGTGCTATCTTTAGAACAGGAATGGAATTCATAAAATAGCTCTTTGCTACAGAGTTTTTCAGCTGCATTTTCAAAACCAAATAATATAATTTATTTTAAATTTAAATTTTAGGCATTTTACAGTAGAATTCATGAATTATTAGGTTTCTATACATTTGTTTAAAAAACAAATAGGTTAGAATACATAAACATTTGTGTCCTACTTTTGTACATTTGTAATATACCTTTGTAGTTCTACTTTTCATGTATTGTTTTCAATTATGAAATAATTAAGTTATTTGGATTTAAATATAGAAAAAATATTTAACTTTTGTTGTGAAGAAATATATATAATATACGTGTGTGTGTGTGTGTGTGTGTGTGTATATATATATATATATATATATATGAAATACACAGTTCATTTGCCCTTGAAATAAGTCCTCCAATAGGAAAAAAAATATGCCCTTTGTGAAATGTCGTCTCCTCACCACAGATAATGAAAGGATTGCTTTGTGATTTGACAATTAAAATTCACTTTTATTTGTCAGTATTTTGTATGATATTCTGTTCAATGACACCCTCCAGTTAAAACTCTACAATGTAGTAACATTGTATTCTGAATGGTAATGCCTGCATCTTATTGTTGTTATTTTTAAAAAGTTTAAAGCTAATTAGGAGACACATCTATTATTTTGCTACTTTATCATTATTCCCTTCAGACCTATGAGCTAGATTTTATCAGGAATGCATACTGTATATTCACTCTCAGTTTATTCATGCTGAGGGCATCGCTAATTTGATCATCAAAGTGTATGTACCATGTATATCCTACAGTAGATTCCTTAAAGGAAAACTAGGGCTGTGCTATTAATTTTAAAGTCCTAATGTATGGCTGTTAAAAATTAAGCTGTCAACATTCTCCATTTCCAGCAGTAGCACAGTAATGACAAAGACATATTATGGAAATAAATAGTAATTAATTTTAATAAGTAGCATTGTACTTACAGCATTGTCAACAGGAAAAATAAAAAATCTTTTATGGAGAAAATAAAGTTGTAACATCAAAAAATATGAAAAAGCAGAATATATTTATGATTAAATTAAGGCAATTTTAGAAATTAAAACTCTCATTTAGCAATATTTGATAAAGACATCTGTATTGCTTCTGAATAAGATATGTATTAAAATTATTCATAAGACAATATGGATTAAAAACAAACTTCTGGCTTCATGATACTTATTTATTGAGTAATTTGCAATTAATACAAAATATTTTTACTTTCTAGGGACAAGAGAAGAAAAACAGGCAATGCTATGGAGGATTAGAAAGCTGATTAACTTGAGATACATAGCCTCATGTTTATAAATTTGACAGAAAAAATGATTCACATTCTATATATCAGTCATTAATTTGGTACTGATGATAATGTGCAATGTATAATACATATCTGTGTTTACTCTGTTTCTTGATTGCATATGTAATGTGCTGAACAAAACCTAACAGAAAAGACGTTTTTGGTCAAATATATCAAATTAAAAGCACACTATTGATGGTCCGAAGCTGTTTAAACAGTTAATAGAATTATCTGTTGATTTCACCTGATTTCAATTATACTAATGTAATTCATGTAAAACCTTATATACTCAAAAAGTAAGGAATTTCCCATGGTTTTAAGAACATCTTAACTCTAGAAACACAGAAAAGGCAGAGAAAAAAAAAGATTTGGAGTTGTTATCTAGAAAAATTTCAGTGGTAAATTCTGATATTTTTCTTCTTCCTTACATGACTGAATTATTTCACATACTTTTTATTGTGTCTAAGAGATGTTTTGAAAACCAAAATAACAAACAGCATCTATGCATAAAATAAGAGCCAGCAAGTTGTGTGGAGAATGTGAGGTACTCTGCAAAGTGTATTTTTATAAGCCCTGATTTTGCTTTCCAATATGCTCCTTAATGACCAACAAAGAGGGATATTTCTTGAGGATGACTTCCCTTGACCTTTCCTATTTGTCTAGAGTATTTGACCAGGATAGATGGGAGACTATGCTGTGCAGTGGTAACTGTACCCAGGAGCAGGAACATGAGTAAGAATGTACTTGATGGAGACAAGGGAGGAAGGAAGTGTAAGTGGCTCTGGAAAGCTCCCTCTGGTGGAGAATGTCTTAATAATAATTCAGAAGCCATTACTAGAACAAGGAGATGATAGATTACCTATTTAAAGGACTTTCTCAATGTAGAAGGGGCCTTCCTAAAATTTCTTGTTATCTGTTTTAAAGTCTGTGGTAGAAATAAAAATTCCATTCCCTAATTCAAAAATTCAGCATTCTTCCATTGCCAGCCAAATTAGCTAAAGTTCAAACATAAAAAGAATCAAAGATCTTTGGGTTCCATATTTTCCTTATTCCCTTCCAAGTCTAGCTGGATTTCAGAGATACATTTATTACTGTAAAACAAATGCTCAATAATAGAATAACAGAAGACAACAAATCTTCCAACATTTTGTTTGATTTCTAAAATTTTTGTTACCGTTGTTGGACATAATATTTTACATTTCCTACCAGCACTGCCTGCTGCTTAAAAAGGTTGTTTGCTCATCTTCTGCTAGAGAACTCTAAAAGGGGTCAATTTTTCTCCGAAATCATTCTGCCAAGGGCAGTCGTTGATATTGCTGTCAGAAGAAAGAAAAAGACAATCTTATGTAGGTGGAGGGGTTTTAACCTTTTTAGGTCATTGGCTGTTTTAAAAATCAGAAAAAAGCTTTGGATTCTCTGGCTCAGCTATATACTCATAATATTTTGCATGCAGTTGCAGTATTTTCCTGAAGTCACAATAGTATTCCCAATACCACGGTTACAATAGTATCCCTGGCTCTCTCTCTGGTGAGCTACCACCTCATTTACCTTCCCACTGCCTCCTACACCTTGCCATGACTAGATCTTCTGAAGGTTAATGTAATTCCTCACCCCGAGGAAGGTTGAAAGTACAGTCTACATAATCATGCCCCACAACGGCTATCTTTAGCATTAAACACCCTGGCTCTAAGACTCTCATCTTTTATCACAGGAATTCTGCATTGTTTTCCGAGACTGGTTCCTACTAAGAAATTCCAGGTTATGGTACTCCAGTAATGAACACTAAATATTGAGAACTCCCTACTTCCGTAGCATTCATTTCTCACACCGCCAGTTAATCAGTTCCTGAATCCTTGCCTTCTATGATTGTGTTTGTGTATATATATGAAATAGACTTGACCCTCAGTCCTAATATCAGAGTTGAATCCCTGTTACAATTTTTTTGTTGATAAATAATATTATCTAATCACAATGACTACTGTAAGTATACAATTGGGAAATGTTAACAAGTGCTATGCAATTAAAAAAAGGTTTTGTGGTCAATGAAATGTGGAAATATTATATACCGCATTCTCTTTGGGAGTTTACAACGCCTTTCAACATACACTTTAAGTAGCATCACAGTAATGGAAACCGGCCCTTAATACTGGTTAACCCAAAGTTTGTCAAACATATCTGCATACATAACAATTTCTATAGGACAGTAGTTAATAACATAATGTTGATAGTTTAGGAAGTTTGGTGTTTTAGGAAGAAACTCATAGCCAAGCCTTTAATAAGATATATTTCTGTAAAAATAACTTCCACAGTACTCTTTATGGCCACCAGTATCTGAGATCATTATATTGAAATTATGGTTTATTAAAAGTGATAATTTAGTTGATCCTACTGTATTCCTCATACATAGCAGAGATGTGGAAAGGGACAGTATGGGGTTTGAAAATTTACAACTTCAAAAACTATTTTCCTTAAATAATTTTCTCTTGTCTGATAGAAAATCAGTGACTCTGATATGACATGAATCTGATTCCCTTCACTAAATATTCATGTGACCACCTTTTCTGAAAGGAAATAATACTCTAAGAAGTAACCATTAAAACTTTTATTATGTTCAGCTCCACAGTTAAAAGGACCCATTTTAATATCTAATTGAGTCTACTTCCATTTTAGTAGTTTACTATGAATGTCATGATTGTTTTCTAAGTAGGTGCTACAATCTTTATCACTGGAATTTCCTTCCATCTAAGAGAACAGAAACCGAGTTAATGTATCTGAATTTCAATAAGGCATTTACAAAGGTCTCTTTTAGTGTTCCTGTTGGCCAGATGGAAAAATATTCACTGATGATATGGAACTGGGTAGGCTTATTATTGGTTAAAAGTTTGTACTCAGATAACCCTGTGTTATGGATTTGTATTAACTGTAAGGAGATATCTAGTGATTTGTCATATAGTTTCATTCTTGCCCCTATATTATTCTAAAGGTTCATTATTAATGTGGGTAAGAACACTGGACTCAATCTTTTCAAAATTGCAGGTGCTATGAAACTGGAAGAAATATTAAATATGTTGAATATGTTGAATTACAAAATAGAAATTCTGGGAAATGGAGAAATTTTAAGAATTAGGTAGAGGTTAGCAAATCATGTTTAACAGAGCCAATTTTAAGTCCTCTTTTAAAAAAATCTAGCATCAATTAAACAAAGAGCACAATTACAGATGGGGATAAATTTGATTTGACTACAGCATGACTGTTTAGCTAGATTCTGAATTTAACACGGAAGACAGATAGAAACAAACATTAATTAAGTGCATACTATATGCACACCTGGGGCTAGTTACCTTCATGTACTCACTTCATTTACCTTCAACAACAAACCAGTGAATAGAAATGACTATAAATAGTATAATGACAAATAAAATTAATTGAAAGAATAACCGCCCCAAGATCATTCAGCAAATAAGTGTCAGATCTAACTTTTATTCCCAAATTTATCAATTAGAATTTGCATTGTTAGTAATAAAATATAGAAATATAGAATTTAAGAAGAGTGAAAAGGGTGGCTCTCCCTTGGTCCAACCACATCTAAAGGCTGTGTTTAGTTCTGGCCCTGACTGCGGAGGGAGGTTAATAGAATGGATCAAGTCCAGGGAAGAACAAACAAAATAATTTCACATTATGTGCATTTAAATAAGTTTGAATCTATTTATTTTGAGTAGGAAAGTTTTCTGGTAGGATATGATAATGATTTAATATAATTGAAAGGCTATCGTTTTAAATAAAAATTAGATACTTTCCCCTCCACTTTGCTCCAGAGAGAAATTCCAGGATCGATGAGAGGAATCTGAAGAGTTTCAGGTTTTACTCAACATAAGAAAAACACTTCATATTTTGCTGCTTTACCTTTTATTCCTAGCTCTTATTATCTTATGGTATAATATACAATTTTATCGTATATATTTTCTGTTTTTCTCACTAAGATAAAAGTTCCATGATGTCAAGGATTTATGTCTGCTTAATCATGGCATTTTTGGCACCAAGCCTGGTACCCAGGATAAAATAGGTGCCTAATAAATATTTGCTGAATAAATGAAATCAAACCAGAGATTATTGGATTCAACTTGGTTCTAGCAAATAGTTTCCTTACTGACAAACAGTATTTTCCTTACTAATAGCCAAAGAAGTATTCATATAATTTGCGAATTCATAAAATTGTACATATTTGAAAGCCAAAGGAGCGCTGAATTCTCAAAAAGTCATTTTAGAAAGTGGCCCAGAATGATTGATTAATCTATCAATCTCTATATGTGAGTACACTTTGGAAGTTTTTAGTCATAATGATGTTACAAATTGTCATCAGACTGTTTCAAGGAGGTATGAGCTCTGTAGTTAAACTTCCAAGGCTCTTTACTTGCAAGCTGTCTGATCTTGAACAATTGATACGACTTCATGGTTACTTTCAGCACCTTCCTCCTGACATTATTTTGAGGATTAAAAGTCATAATATATGTAAAGTACTTACTGTTACCTTGTGCTTAGTGTGAATATAAATATTAAATAATATTAACAGTATTAGTAGAAAATTATGGCATTGCTCTTATTATAGCTACTTACCATTCATACTGTATATCATGAAAATGATAAATATTGAGATTGTAAAAAAAACCATTCAACATTTAGAAGCACTCCCAGGGTCTTTGCAAAACAAAACAAAAATGCATAGTTCCTCTATTGTCCAGAATAGATAAATAAAATGTTAAAATATGGAATAAATAGACCACTGTGTGGATTACACGTATAGGTAAAAATGTCATCCTCAAGGAATATAATGTCACTCTCTACTCATTTTGATCTTCTCACTAACTTGATCTTTTTAGGTCCAACCCCTCTTCTGAGCTTTCCCTTCCTTCTCTTGAAGGATTGAAACATAATAGCAAGTTGAGTAGCCACAGGCAGTTTTGCTATACAAGACTAGCTCACTCTCTCCCATTACAGTGTTTTCTTTGCTTTTGTGAAAAGACTCCCACACTGGTGTCTGCTGCTAAAATCAATTCTGGAAAGGTATTTTAAAAAATGACCCTCCCTTAGGACGTGACAGATCTCTGATGGTGTCTTTGTCTTCCTTCTGTTTTTGAAAAAATCCACAGTATTTTCTCCAAAACTTTATTATGTTTTATGAAAACATACCACTGACAGCTTCCAATAGGAATCAGAAGATTTACATTGATTGACCTAGGATGCACTTCAATTATCTAGCCTGAGCCTATATCATCTTTTTAAAACGTTTGCTTTTAAAAAATGATTTATATTGCCCTGATCCTTTGAAAAGTAAATTTGACACATGATAACCCTTTAATTCTACATAATTCAGTGTGCACCCCTTGAGAAGCATTTTCTTGG
Source organism: Homo sapiens (assembly GCF_000001405.40). NCBI lineage: Eukaryota > Metazoa > Chordata > Mammalia > Primates > Hominidae > Homo > Homo sapiens. The sequence continues at coordinate 92,392,275 of NC_000004.12, forward strand.
CTGGGCGCGGTGGCCTGTAATCCCAGCACTTTGGGAGGCCAAGGTCACAAGGTCAGGAGATCAAGACCATCCTGGCCATCATGGTGAAATCCCATCTCTACTGAAAATACAAAAATTATCTGAGTGTGGTGGTGTGTGCCTGTAATCTCAGCTACTTGGGAGGCTGAGGCAGGAGAATGGCTTGAACCCGGGAGGCGGAGATTGCAATGAGCCGGGATGGCACCACTGCACTCCAGCCTGGCAGCAGAGTGAGACTCTGTCTCAAAATATATATATTTATATTTCCCTGATTTTCTGAAAGTAAATTGGACACATGATAACCCTTTAATACTGCATAATTCAGTATGTACCCCCTGTAAAGTATTTTCTTATTCAGTTACATTACTGAAGTAATTATGAAAATTAGAAAAATAACACTGACTCAAAATTACTATTTAAACTTTAGACATCATTCAAATATTATTTTGTGTCCCAGTAATATCATTCATACCTAAAGACTATACTTTTTGAACATACTAATATTTTTCATAAATATTTCTTTATCGCCTTCCTTACCCTGCGTTACTGAAAACGGTGTGTTTTGGTCATGTTTATTTTGAACATAGTGCCAAACACATTCATCGATATTATTATATTAGGTTATTCTTGCATTGCTATAAAGAAATATGTGAGACTGGATAACTTACAAGAAAAGAGGTTTAATTGGCTATCAGTTCTACAGGCTATACAGGAAGCATGGCAACATCTGCTTCTGGAGAGCCCTCAGGGAGCTTTTACTCATGGGGGAAGGTTAAGTAGAAGCGGGCACTTCACATGGTGAAAGCAGGAGCAAGAAAGAGGGATAGAGTGGTGAGGGCGTTGCCACACACTTTAAAATGACTAGATCTAGTGAGAACTCACTATTATATAGGTAGGACCAATCCATGAGGGATCCACTCCTATGATTCAAAAACCTCCCACAAGACCCTACCTCCAGCTTTGGGGATTACAACTGAATATGAGATTTGGGTGGGGACAAATATTCAAGTTATATCAATTATTATCTTTCCATCTCCTTTACATATAGATACTCTATAGAATGATGCAGTGTAATCTTACATAATATCTCTCTTCAAGTTTGAACAATCATTTTTTCTAGGTATGGAACAAATTACTTTTATGGAATTTTTATTTCCTAAACTTCCCTGCACTCAACCTACATATACTCTGAACAAATCTGAATATAGTTGGATTTAGAAATCTAGAATAGTCTTATATGTACTTATATGTGGCATACAGTTAATTATGTAAGGAAATATTTGCCCTATATAATTTTGTGCTTCATTTTCTGTTCACTCCATGTTTTATTTTCTTTCACCAACCAATTTTCATTGTTTTATTTGACTAATTCCTGGCTACAAACATGATCAAGTTGCTCTTTAGTTTTGGGGAAACTTACCAGTTTGTATGTATTGGTCCAGTCAAAGGGGGTAAAATATTATTAGCCAGAAGTTTTCTGAATAAACATAATAAAGCTAACTCGATGTTCATTTTAATGGAATTTTTATGTTAAAGCCTAGTGATCTGATGAAATGCCTTCCCAGTTACATATATTTCTATCATATTAGTGTTGGTCATTTTGAATAAAAGTTGTCACTTTGCTGGATAGTGTCACAGAAATACTGGTACTGGTCACTGGTTACCACTTTTAACTGAAAGGAACTTGAGTGTCTCTGCTTCAGTGATCATATTTTCAATTATTAGGAAGCTAAGCAAAGGGTGATTTGGTTTGTATAAGGTTACTCACTGAGTCGGCAGAAATGCCACTGATCTCATTTTATCATATCTGCTAGGTTTTATGTGACATTGAAATGCCTCATTGTCCAACTCTTGTTTTTTGTTACAATGAAGATCACTAATATATTATTTGTATTTGTAGTAATATCAATAATCATCTGCAATTCCACTTTTTATATTGCATTATAATTTATCAACTATTTTTAATCAGTGTCTTCTACATTTGACTTTAGCCAAAAAGCTAAGAAATAATTATTTTCACTGATTTTATTTGAAATGGTTCTTTACTCATGGTGCACAGGGCACCATAATTTTAATAAAACTTTACCGTTCAATACAGTTTTGATTAATTCCAACAACTAATATCATTCATTAATCATAAATTCTAGAAAACTTTTTTTCACAGAAGCTAAACTTCCTGATCTGGCTGTGGCTAGTTTTGGAGTCTGTTGTTCACTGGTTACAATGCTTATATCATTCTCTACTTATATTTTAATTAGAAGAATGTAAGTAGTTGGGTCACAGGCTGAAAAATGACTTAAAAATTAAAATAATTATAGACAAAGCCCAATTAAACATAAATTTCAAAACTCTGCAATAAATACTTTTTATTCTAAAAATTTATTCAGTTTCTATGAATTCCAACTTGAAAGAATTATTAGTTTTCTATAATTATATGTGCTGTCAGTAAACATTTATTTTGATGTGAAATAATTACTATTTACAAGCCTTAATTGAAATAAATTTGTTTATGTAGATCTGTATACTTTTTTCCTACATAAGTTATTTTTAACAGCTATACTAAAATTTAGTTTCCTCTTAGTGTGTAATTTTGTTATTTTATATTTGTGTAATATTATTTTTAGTCTTCCTACCAAAAGTTGACTTTTCAGTTGTTCATTCTTAGAGCACAGTGATAATAAAAAGGAATCTATACTTAATTCTATCCATAATATGCTTTGGCAGAATAAACAAAGTAACTAACACATTAAAATTACCAAGTAATTTTAAGTTCTAAATTAAATAAACAATGAACAACACATAAATATTTTCTTTAAAATATTTTGTGTAGAATATAGAGTTTGTTTCCACAATTATTCAAAAATTAGCTTAAATACCCACATATTTTGTTGATGTACTAATAATGGGGATATTTTTACAATAAAACATAGAATTAAAAATTATGATTTTGGAGAATTCATAATAAGGTAGGGATATAGTATGATTTATGTACCCTTTGATCTCACAATTAGGTGGGAAGACAATGAATAAGTAATTCACTCGATAAAAAATATTGTTAAGAAATGTATATATAAAATAAAATATTATTTTTACAGCCTTTTAAAAAAGGTTTTCAAACATATTGACTGTTGATCTTGCGAAACCCTTCATTACTTAATATCTATTAAAATATTTTCACTTATCAGGAAATTTATAATTATCTGTAATGGTTTATATAAGAGCACCAAAATGTTAAGTAAGCACAACCAAAGCTCAACCCCAGGAATTCTAACTTAAAAATTTCATTCTGGTCTATAACGAGCTCTCTTGCCCCGATATATTTATTCTATGTAGCTGTTGGCACTATCTATCTATGTGTCTCATAGATAAAACCACATAATATCTAAAAAACTCTAGTTATAATATAATAGCATAGGTAACATTTATTGTATACATATGTGTCATATTTTAAATATATTCTTTCCATTCCTTGCACTTAGAGAGTTGGGTGGGATTATTCCTATTTCAAAGATGAGAACACTGAAGTTTAGTAACTAATAAATGAGTAATTATTTTTGAGCTGATGTGCCCCTAAAGGCCAATATCTTTCTGCATCTTTGATTATTTATACTTATAGAAAACTACATTTTGTACTTAGTACTTGGTAAGTAGATTTTGAAATACGTAATAACCTATTAGTAGATTTTTCTTATGCATACACAGCTTTTTAAGTAATAGAAGAATTTTTATGATACAGAGAAATAGTATGATAAGACATATTATTTATTTCACTTTTTAAAGCCAAACTGATTTAAAATAAAGTGATACCTTAAATGACTTGACATATGGTCTGAAATGTTTAGACTGATTATTGGTGAAATATTTTGGGGGAAATTTGCACTGTAAATTAAAGCATTATGTTTATTCAAGGTGACAAAGAAATGTACTTCAATGGCATGGTACTGTTTTATTTCATTACTAAAAACAATAGAACTAAAGTGCTAAAGGTAAAATAGAGAGCTTGTAGTGCATTATATTTTAAGAAAAATGAGACCCAGAATGTCTTGCATGTTATATTTGCCAAAATATTTGATAAATTCAGCGAAACAAATGTTTGCCGATTGCTTTTTGTAAGTACCTCTGATATGTGCTTTTATATACATGGCCTAATGATCTTATTTATGAGAATGACTTATCATCATCATACACAGTCATCTTCAATAAGCAATTTTTAAGCTTATACCATTGGAGAGACACTTCACTAGAAGATGTGGCATATACAATGAAGATTATGTCATACCTAGGAGTGAGAGCCTAATTACGGAGATGAGGCTAGTGCATAAAATATAGTTAACAATAAAGATAGCATGTAAATGCCAACAGGTGTATAAATCGTAATTATTAAAGATGGTCAAAGCAAGACAATATCTTTTATGAAATTATTTTAATCCCTTACTCTTTATTATCATCCAGGAGAAGTCAAGATCTAAAACATAGTTCAGAGAAGCAGAAAAGTTTCAGCACATCAGGTGCTTCCAGTCCTGGATGAATTCTAAATAAGAAATTCCAATATAGTAGTGTTGACCTAGCAACAATTTAAATAAAATGATTTCCTTTTTATTTGCTTCTCTGAAGCATGGACAAACTGCTCATTAACAGTAGAACAAACTGCTGTCCACTTTTATAGTTATTTGAAATATAAAAATCAATTATTAGTCATGAGAATGAATCACGTTTTAAAACAAGGGTTGAGAAGTAAAGTATTTTAGTTTTTTTTCAAGGCAAGTATTCTAAAATGCCAGCATTAGGTCCATTTACAAAAAGTTGAATCATTACATTCTTGAAATTCTTTAAAATAATCATGTAAAACTTTAAAAATCAGAACAATATTACAATTATTATAGATAATTTGAGAAGGATAATTTATTCCACAAATATTTTATATAAATTACTTAGCTTTGTAAGCTAAAATATCATGTAGGATTTTTTTTAGTCTCTCTGTTATTAACTATATTAAAAGGAAGAAAAAACAGCTGAGAGGAAAATTATAATAAAACTCTGTGTGTTTGTATGTGTGTGTGTGTGTGTGTGTGTGTGTGTGTGTGTGTGTGTGTTTCTCCATTCAGAAGAAATAATGGAGGAGGAGTTAGGCTGTTAACCAAGCCTAGCACTGACATCATTCAAGAGTCAAAAAATATAATAGAAGGCATGCCTAATACATTGTTTACTATTGGAAAATTGAAGATCAAGAGAAAGAAAAAAGAAATTATTTATGTCACCCAACATATGGAATAAACTGAAAGTGAAAAGAAATGCTCCTATTATAGCATAAAACAACTATGTTACTGTTGCAGCATAGAAGTGGCATGAAAATACATGGGGTAATAATATCAGAAGTAGTAGAGGAGAGTGGCCTGAAACCATAGCTCCCATCATGAGGGGAAGGGGACAAAATGTTACAATAGCAACCCAAAATACAGTAATGTCTGAGAAAGTGACAGAGGGTACATGGTTAATGAAGAGAACATATCAGTAATTAATAATGAACCATATGGAAACGATTTTATTTCTTCCACACCTTTGAGTAAGGGTTGAATCAGAAAGAATGGTATTGATTACCATCACTATACCTACTCCAAGTTAATGTGGCCTGGGGAAACTAGAATCACTTGCAAATTTGTGTTCACACAGGTGCTTCAGACTGTAGGTGATGCTTTTAAATGTAAATAATGCTCTATATTCCTTTTGGAGAACTTACCTTACAAATATGCTGGCACACACACACAAAATAATATATGCAGAGACATTCATTTGCAGCGCTATTTGACATGGCAAATTTTGACTACTCCTAAAATGTTAAATACATTGTGGCAGATTAAACAATAAAATCATATGCAATTAAGAAGATGGAATATCTATATATAAAGATATGAAAGTATCGTCAAGATATACTTTAACAGGAATAAAACAAGATGCCAAAGAGCAGCATGTATCAAATCAATCATTTATTATTATTTCACTATTATTATTATTATTAATTTGAGACAGGAATTAATTTGAAACCTGTTGCCCAGACTGGAGTGCAGTGGTGTAATCACGGCTCATTGCAGCCTTGATCTCCTGGGCTCAAGTGATCCTCCTGCCTCGGCCTCCAGAGTAGCTGGGACTACAGGGGTACACCACCACACTGGGCTAGCTTTTGAATTTTTGGTAGACAAGTTTTTGCCATGTTGCCCAAGCTGGTCTCAAACTCCTGGGCTCAAGTGATCTACCTGCCTCGGCCTTGCAAAGTGCTGGGATTACAGGCATGAGCCACTGCTCCCAATCACTTATTTTTAAAGGTGAGGTAGAGGATAAACTTCATTTGTGTTTCCTTGTACATTCATAACAATTCTGGAATTATTCTTAAGGAACTAAGAGTAGTCATCATCGTTGAAGGAACTGGAAGTAAGAATTGGGCAGATGAAGGAAAAAAATGAAAGAAAGACTAGAAATGCATGATTGTACAACTATTTAGTATTTGCTACATTTTCAGCCATATTATTACAAAGTGAAAGTTAAAAAATGCATATAATTTAATAGGCATGTTATGAGCAGTGGGACTGAGTGAGCTGCCTCACACTGTTAAACGTGATAACTACATGAATATAGTAAAAGGATCAGATAGTCTCATAAAGTCCGTAACAACTCAAAAAATTATTATTTCTTGAATTGGTAATCTATTCATTTTTATTTTTTACATTTAAAGCTAGAGCTACAACTGGTTTAGTTAGAGACCAAATTACTCATCCAGTTTCTGTAAGCCATCCACATTTTACTTTCATGAAAACACACATGGTAAGTAAATGTGGAGATATCAAAAAGGACCCTCGGGGTATGTCATTGAGAACTCTGTGAATGAGCTCAGGTTTCTGCATCCTACCGTAATACAGGCCACCGTTTTATAATAATAACCCCGAGGACAGTTGCTCTTTCCAGAAGTGAGGTGAGTCACATTTGTGTTTGTGCTCCATTGACTGCCTTTTCCCTTCCTCCGTTGAGCTCATAGTCCGAGATTCCTCAAGCAGTTCCCGTCTTCCTTCAGGCCCACTCCTAATTGGAACCCATCTATCCCACTAACAGCCGTTGAGCTTTACCCTGTGAAACATTCTGGTTGTTGTCTTTTCAACTTGAAGTCATATCGAAAGATGATAATTGTAAGGCTAAATTCAATACTTGGGGTTAGATTATACTGTATTCTTATTCGCTGACAAATATTATTTTTGTGATCTCTTAATTTAGTTTTGAAGCTTTATAAAGATACACAATTAAGACCCTCCAATTACATATTTCACAATTTAACTTTATTGGATAGAATAAAAGCAGCTCTCTCTCTCTCTCTCTCTCTCTCTCTCTATATATATATATATATATACATACATGTGTGTTTGTGTGCATGTGTATTTAATTATATAAAATTTTTCAGGTAGGCAAAACATATTATTTTATTGTAATTAGAATTTCAGAGCTAGAAGATATTTTAAAGATATATCTCAACTATTCAATTTACAGAAGTGGAAACAAACTCAATGAATAAATACATAGTTACAGATGTAGTTACTTTACGTATTGCATGTGTGTATAATTATATAATTTTTCAGTTGGGCAGAGCATATTATTTCATTGTGATTAGAATTTCAGAGCTGGAAAAGATTTTAAAGATAAGTCTTAACTATTTCATAGTAGTGGAAACTGAAACTCATAATGAATAAATACAGAGTCAAATGTAGTTACTGTAAGTATTGCAGCTATAACCTGTCTCATTCACATTTTAAATAAGAGATTCATTAAGGTATAATTCAAATACCATACAATTCTCTCTTTTAAAGTGTATAGTTCAGTCATTTTTAGTATATTCACAAAATTGTGCAACTACCACAGCTATTTAATGGTAAAACGTTTGTATCACTCCAAAAAAGAAAACCTCTATCCATTATCAGTCACTTCCCGTTCACCTCTCCCTCCAGTTCCCAGAAACCACCAACATACATTCTTGTCTCTATGCATTTGCTTACTCTGGACATTTAACACAAATAGAATCATGCAATATGTGGCCTTTTGTCACAGCATCTTTCAGTTAGTAAAATGTTTTCAAGGTTCATTCATGCTGTAGCATGTATTAGTACTTTATTCCTTTTTATTGTCAAATAATATCCCATTATATGGCCATACCACTATTTGTTTATCTACTCATCAAGTGTTGGGCATTTGAGTTATTTCCCCTTAAGGGCTATTACAAATAATGCTACTAAGAATATTTGTGTGCAAGTGTTTGTGTGGCCCTATATTTTCAATTACCTTACCTTACACCTGGGAGTGAAATTGCTGGGTTCTATGATAACTTCATGTTTAACATTTTGATAAACCCCCAAATTGTTTTCCAAAATGACTGCGCCATTTTACATTACCACCATTAACGCATGAAGGTTCTTATTTCTCTTTACCCTCACAAACACTTATTGCATGCCTTGAAAAAAAATTATCCTTGTGAGTGTGGTGTCCAATTGAAGTTTTGATTTACCTTGCCCTAAAGACTCATGATGTTGAACTTCCTTCATGTACTTACATGGCCACTTGTATATCTTTCTTGGAAAAATATCTACTGAAATTCTTTGCAAATTTTTAAATTTATCTTTTTATCGTTAACATGTAAGAGTTATTTAAATAACCTCAATATAAGTTGCTAATCAAATATGATTTGCAAAAACTTTCTCCCATTCTGTGGGCTGTCTTTTGACTTTCCTGATGAGATCCTTTCTTTCATAAAAGTTTTAATTTTGATGAAGTGCAATTTATCTATTTTGTTGTTGTTGCTGTGCTTTTGTTGTTATATATAAGAAACAATTTGCCTAATCCAAGGTCACAAGGTCAGATTCCTTTATTTTCCTTTAGAAGTTCATTTACATTTTTAACATTTCTTTCCTCAAAGAAGTTTATTATATGCAATTTGGCAATAGTTTAAACAATAAACAAGTAAAGGAACTAGAAAGCAGATATTACATGTTTATATAGTAATTTCAACTTCATTCTTTCAATTGTTATTTATCAGATACCTATAGTGAACCAAGCATAATGTTAGGAGCTGGTTTTTTAATGTAATAATTTATTTAGTTTTAACACCAATTCTTTGTGGCAGGAATTATGTGCAGTCATACATCAGAGATATCATGGGTTTAGTTTTAGACCACTGCAATAAAGCAAATATCAAAAAAGCAAATATAATAATAAAGTGAGTCACACAAATTTTTCTGTTTCCCACTGCATATAAAAATTATGTCTACACTATACTGTATGTCTACAATATACTGTAGTATATTAAGTATGCAATAGCATTATGTCAAAACATAATTAACATTTAAAAATAATTTATTGATAAAAATGCTGACTATCATCTGAGCATTCATTGAGTCGTTAATATTTTTGCTACTGCAGGATCTTGCCTCACTGTTTATGGCTGCTGATTGAACAGAGTAGTGGTTGCTGATGGTTAGGGTGGCTGTGGGAATTTCTTAGCATAAGAAAACAATGAAGTTTGCCACATCAGTTGACACTATCTTGCCCATATCTTTTCTCTGTAGTATGCAATGCTGCTTGAAAGCATTTTACCCACAGTAGAATTTCTTTCAAAATTGGAGTTTATTCTCTCACTGTGCAGCTGCTTTATCAACTAAGTTTATGAAATATTCTAAATCCTTTGTTGTCATTTCAACAATGTTTGCAGCATCTTCACTAGGAATTGTCTCTATCTCAAGAAACCACTTTTTTTTTCCTCATTCGTAAGAAGCTACTTCTTATCTATTCAAGTTTTATAGTAAGATTGCAGAACTCCAGGCATATCTTAAGTCTCCAATTCTAATTCTAGTTCTCTTGCTATTTACACCAAATCTGTAGCTACTTCCTTCACCGAATTCTTGAATCTCTCAAAGTCATTCATCAGGGTTGAAATCAACTTCTTTCACAGCCCTGTTGATCTGTGTACTTTGACCTCCTCCCATGAAACACACGTTTTTATTGGTATCTAGAGTGGAGAATCCTTTCCTGAAGGTTTTCAACATATCTGCCCAAATCCATCAGAGGAACCACTACTTATGGCAGGTATCACCTTATGAAATGTATTTTTGAATAATAAGACTTGAAAGTTTGTATTACTATTTGATTCATGGGCTGAAGTATGGATATTGTGTTAGCAGGCATGAAAGCAACATTAATCTCCTTGTACATGTCCATCAGAGCTCTTGGATGACCAGATCCACTGCAAATGAGTACTAATATTTTTAAAGGAATCTTGTTTTATGAGCACCAGATCTCAGCAGTTCACTTAACATATTCAGTAAACCATGCTATAAACAAATGTACATTCATCCAGGCTTTGTTGTTCCATTTATAGAGCACAGGCAGAATAGATTTAGCATAATTCTTAAGGCCCCTAGGATGTTCAGAATGGTAAATGAGCATTGGCTTCCTCTTAAAGTGACCTGCTGCATTAGTCTCTAACAAGAGAGTCAGCATATCCTTTGAAGCTTCGAAGGCAGCAATTACTTCCCTCCACCTATGAAAGTCCTACATGGCATCTTCTTCCAATAGGAAGATGTTTTGTCTGCATGGAAAATCTCTTGTTTAGTGTAGCCTCCTTCTTTAAATGATCTTAACCTGATCTTCTGCATAACTTGCCGCAGCTTCTACATTAGCTCTTGCTGCTTCATCTTGTAGTTTTTCATATGAAGAAGGCTTCTATCTTAATGCTTATGAACCAGCCTCTACTGGTTTCCAACTTTTCTTCTGCAGTTTCTTCACTTCTCTCAGCCTTCAGAGAATTGAAGAGAGGTCCTTGTTCTGCTTTAGACTTTGGCTTAAGAGAATGTGTGGCTGGTTTTATTTTCTATCCAGACCACCCAAACTTTCTTCATATCAGGAAGAAGCTTTTTTGCTTTCTTATTATTGATGTTTTCACTTGAGTAGTACTTTTAATTTCTTTCTAGAACAGTTTTGTTGCACAACTCAGGTGTTTGGTGCAAGAGGCTTACCTTTCAGCCTATCTCAACTTTTGAAGTTCCTCTCTCAGTAAGCCTAAACATTTGTAACATTTCATTGAAAGTGAGAGACATGGCCAGGCATGGTGGCTCATGCTTGTAATTCCAGCACTTTGGGAGGCTGAAGCAGGCGGATTATGAGGTCAGGAGTTTGAGACCAGCCTGACCAATATGGTGGAACCCCATCTCTACTAAAAATAAATTAGCTGGGCGTGGTGGTGCGCAACTGTAATCCCAGCTACTCAGGAGGCTGAGACAGGAGAATCGCTTGAACCCGGGAGGCAGAGGTTGCAGTGAGCAGAGATTGCGCCACTGTACTCCAGCCTGGGGGACAGAGTGAGACTCCATCTCAAAAATAAATAAATAAATAAATAAATAAATAAATAAATAAATAAATAAATAAAGTGAGAGACATGTCACTCTTCCTATCACTTGAAAACTTCGAGGCTATTGTAGGGTTAACTGGCCTAATTTCAATATTGCTAAAATAGATAATAGGGAGGTTCAAAGACAGGGAGAGAGATAGGGAATGGCTGGAAAGTGGAGCAGTCTGAACACGCATAATATTTATCTATTAAGTTTACTGTCTTATGTGGGCATAGTTCATGGCTGACCAAAGCAATGATAATAAACATCAAAAATAACTAATCACAGATTAACATAATAATGAAAACATTTATGAAATAATCAAATATTGTGAGAATTACCAAAACGTGACGCAGAGACATGAAGTGAACACAAGCTGTTGGAAAAATGGCATCGATAGATTTGCTCAATGAAGGATTGTCATAAACCTTCAATTTGTAGAAAATCAATTTCTGCAAAGAGCAGTAAAGTTTAACACAATAAATCTAGGTATGCCTATATTCATTTTTTTCCAAAAAGAAATTAAGAGTTAGGTAACTTTTCTAAAGTCATTGTATGAAAGAATGAAGATAGAGTTAAGAGAAAAACAATTCTGATTCTAGGGAAATGCAAATCAAACCACAATGAGATAACACCTCATACCAGTCAGAATGGGGATTATTAAAAAGTCAAGAAACAACAGATGCTGGCAAGGCTGTGGAGAAACAGGAATGCTTTTACACCGTTGGTGGGAATGTAAATTAGTTCAACCATTGTGGAAGACAGTGTGGCAATTCCTCAAAGACCTAGAACCAGAAATACCATTAGACCCAGCAATCCCATTACTGATTATACCCAAAGGAATATAAAACATTCTATTATAAAGAAACATGCACATGTATGTTCATTGCAGCACTATTCACAGGAGCAAAGAGAATCAACCCAAATGCCCATCAATGATAGATTGGATAAAGAAAATGTGGTACATACACACCATGGAATACTGTGCAGCCATAAAAAGGAAACAAGATCATGTCCTTTGCAGGGACATGGATGGAGCTGGAAGCCATTATTTTCAGCAAACTAACACAGGAACAGAAAACCAAGCACCACATGTTCTCATTTAAAAGTGGAAGCTGAACAATGAGAATACATTGACACACAGAGGGGAACAACACACACTGGGGCCTGTTGGGCTGGTGGGGAGGGAGAGCATCAGGATAAATAGCTAATGCATGAGAGTCTTAATATCTAGGTGATGGGTTGATAGGTGCAGCGTACCACCATGGGACACACTTGCCTATGTAACAAAGCTGCACATCCTGCAAATTTATCCTGGAACTTAACATTAGATTAAATTAAAAATAAAGTTGATTCTAAGCATTCTGTAACCATATCAGATATATGGTTGTGGTTGATAGCTCGAATGTCAGAGATGGAGAACTGCCTGGGTTTGAAGAATGGCGTTCAAACTCCCAGCAATTCGACTTTGGTCTAGTTAATTAACTGCTTTGCATTTCCATCCATGCAAAGTGCAAATAATAATATTTATATAGGACAGTTATGAGAATTAAACATGTTAATGCATTTAAAATACTTAAGCTTATGACTGGCATGTTATTAATGCACACAAAATGTTAAAATGTTAGTTATATTTATTCATAAAATTTATTATAAATCTCTGCTGTCTGGAACTGACATTCTATTAGCGGGGACAGACGCTGAACTAACAACCATGTAAATTTTTATGTAATTACCAATTTTGGTAAGTACTACATAGAAAAGAAAAAAGTAATATAAATTATAAAAGTGATTAGGTAGTTCAAGATATTCAAGTATTTCTTTTTCTGTTCCTTGCTGTGGGTGTTAAAATCTTTTTATATTTGTTTTCTTAAATTTTCATACAATAATTCATTTTTATATATGTATATGGTGTTTCCACATAGCAATACATAAGGGAAAAAAGTTGATTAGGATAAAAATATCCTGACTCTCAACTGAAAAGTAGGTAAAAGTTACATTCAGTAATACAAAAAAAAAAAAATCAGCTTATACAACTATTTCATGAGGTCTTATTTCTAATGGAAATTTAGTATCATCACTTCAAAGTATTTTTAGAAATACGGTATAAATCATATATGAATTAGGGTTCTCTTAGAGGGACAGAACTAATAGGATAGATGTATATATAAAGGGGAGTTTATTAAGTATTAAATTACACAATCACAAGGTCCCACAACAGGCCGTCTGCAAGCTGAGGAGAAAGGAGAGCCAGTCTGAGTCCCAAAACTGAAGAACTTGGAGTCCAATGTTCAAGGGCAGGAAGTATCCAGCATGGAAGAGAGATGTAGGTTGGGAGGCTAGGCCCATCTCTCCTCTTCACATTTTTCTTCCTGTTTTGTATTTGTTGGTGGCTGTTTAGATGGTGCACACCTGATTAAGGGTGGGTCCACATTCCCCAGCCCACTGACTCAAATGTTAATGTCCTTTGGCAACACCCTTACAGACACACCAAGGATCAACATTGCATTCTCCAATCCAATCAAGTTGACACTCCATATTAACCATCACAATACAATTAATAAAACTAATACATAACTTTAAAATTATAAAATCTCATTTATCCCTTAAATTTTAGGCCTTTAGTTTTTGAAGCACTCAAAAGTCAAAGTTAAAAAAGTTACTATCATTATAATGTTACAGTCAAATGCCCAGTAATGTACATTAATGATTTCATTTTAGAAAACATGTGCACAGTTCTTACTGGCCTAGAACAGAAAATGAGGACATTGTGTGCAAATCAATGGGGACATTGTGTCTCTGGAAGTGACTAGAGTTTTGGGTATTTTTCCTTTTTTTAAAAAAATGTCAACTTTTATTATAGATTAAGAGATATACATGCAAGTTTGTTACATGGGTAAATTGTATGACACTGAGGCTTAAGGTCCCAACAATCCTGTCACCCAGGATGTAAGCATAGTAACCAACAGGTGGCTCTTCAGCCCATGAACCCCTTCTTTTCCGCTCCATCTAGTGATGCCCAGTGTTTGTTATTCCCAACCTTACAATTAGGCATTTTCAATGTTTAGCTCCTACTTATAAGTAAGAACATGTGGTATTTGGTTTTCTGTTCTTAAGTTAGTTTGCTGAGGATAATGGCCCTCAGCTACATCCATGTTGCTGCAAAGGGCATGATTTTGTTCTTTCTTACGGCTGCATGTATTAATCCGTTCTCACACTGCTATAAAGATACTATCTGAAACTGGGTAATTTATATATAAAAAAGGAGGTTTAATTGGCTCACAGTTCTGCATGGTTGGGGAGGCCACCAGAAACTTGCAATTATAGTGGAAAGCGAAGGGGAAGCAAGGCACCTCTTACATGGTGGCAGGAGATAGAGAGAGAGAGAGAGTGCGTGTCAGATACTGCCACTCTTAAACCATCATATCTCATGAGAACTCTCTATCACGAGAACAGCATGGGGGAAACTGCCCCCATAATCCGAACACCTCCCACCAGGTCCCTTCCTCAACACCTGGGGATTACAGTTCAAGGTGATATTTGGATGGGGAGACAGAGCCAAATAATATCACTACATAATATTCCATGATGTATATGTACCACATTTTCTTTATCCAGTCCACTGTTGATGGGCGCATAGGTTGATTCCATGTCCTTGCTATTGTGAATAGTGCTGCAGTGAACATATAGGTGCGTAGGTCTTTTTGATAGAATGAATTATTTTTCTCTGGGTATATACCTAGTAGTGGGATTGCTGTGTCACATGGTAGTTATTTTTTAAGTTCTTTGGGAAATCTCCAAACTGCTTTTCACAGTGGTTGAATTAGTTTGCATTCCCACCAAAAGTTTATAAGCATTGTATTTTCTCCCCAGCCTCACCAACATCTGTTATTTTTTACTTTCTAATAATTGCTATTGTGACTGGTGTGAGATGGTATCTCCTTGTGGTTTTGATTTGCATTTCTCTGATGATAAGTGATACTAAGCATATTTTCATATGTTTATTGGTTGCTTGTATGTTTTCTTTTGAGAAGTGTTTGTTCAGGTACTTTTCCCATTTTTAAATTGGATTATGTGGTTTTTTGCTTGTTGATTTGTTTAAGTTCCTTACAGATTCTGGGTGTTAGATCTTTGTCAGCTGAATAACTTACAATTATTCTTTCCCATTCTGTAGGTTGTCTGTTTACTTTGTTGGTAATTTCTTTTTCTGTGCAGAAGCTCTTTTGTTTAGTTGGATCCTACTTGTCAATTTTTGTGTTTGTTGAAGTTGCATTTGGGCTTAGCCATAAATTCCTTGCCAAAGTCTACGTAGAAAAGGATATTTCCTAGGTTTTCTTTTAGGATTGTCATAGTTTCAAGTCTTACATTTGAATCTTTAATCCATCTTGAATTAATTTTCATATATGGTGAGAGGTAGGGTTCTAGTTTCATAGACCTCATTCAATGGCTGCATATGGCTAGCCATTTATCCCAGAACCATTTATTGAATAGGGAATCCTTCCCCCATTGCTTATTTTTATTGATTTTGTTAAAGATCAGATGGTTTTAGGTATGTGGGTTTATTTCTAGATTCTCTATTCTGTTCCACTGGTCGATGTGTCTGTTTTTATACCATACCATGCTGTTATGGTTAATGTAGCCTTACATTACAGTTTGAATTTAGGCAATGTGATGCCTTTGGCTTTGTGCTTTTTTTGCTTACAATTATATTGCCTATTCAAGCTCTTTTTTTTTTTTTTTTTTTTTTTTTTTTTTTTGCTGTTGTTGTTTTAAATGAACTTTAGAATAGATTTTTCTAATTCTGTGAAAATGACCTTGGTATTTTGATAGGGAGAGTGTTTAGTCTATAAATTGCTTTGGGCAGTATGGCCATTTTAACTATACTGATTCTTCCAATCCATAAGCATGGAATATTTATTATTATTTTTTTTTGTCCCTGATTTCTTTCAACAGTATTTTGTAGTTCTCTTTGTAGACATTTTTCACCTCCTTGGTTAGATAAACTCCTAGGTATTTCATTTTGTTTGTGACTATGATAAATGGGATTGTGTTCTTGATTTGGTTCTCAGCTAGAACGTTATTGGTGTGCAAAAATGCTACTTTTCTTTTAACTGATTTTGTATTATGAAACGTTACTGTATTTGTTTATCAAGAATGTTTAGGTGGAGTCTTTGGGGTTTTGTAGATATAGAATCATATCATTGAAAAAGACAGATTGACTTCTTCTTTTCCTATTTTGATGCTTTTTATTTTATTTTCTCTCTTGCCTGATTGTTCCTGCTAGGACTTCCAGTGCTATGTTAAATAGGAGTGGTGAGAGTGAGCGTACTTGTCTTGTTCCAGTTCTCAAGGGGAATGCCTGAGGTTTCTCCCATTCTGTATGATTTGGCTGTGGGTTTCTCATATATGGCTCTTATTATTTTGAATTATGTTCCTTCGATGCCTAGTTGGTCGAGGGTTTTTAACATGAAGGGATGTTGGATGTTATTGAAAGCTTTTCACGTGTATTTTGGCTGTAATACCAAAAATAAGAAGTGTGTCATAACAACAGAGGCATGAAGAGACAGCCTTCTTTTCCCTTATTTCCCTCATTACAGAGTTACCATTTTAGGTCCATTAAATGTATTTTCCTACTCTATAAGGTGTCCAGTTCAAAAAAATCACACAAGGGCCTAGAGACCTGAAGATGAACTCTAGAGAATGGTATAATATGTTTTGTGTGGATAGAGTATTTCATTTTTAAGTATTTATTACTTTCTGATAGATTATGTCACTCAATCATGGTGTCTAATATATAGTATTACTTTTATAGGTAAATTTATAAGTCACCATTTCAGACATATATTTCTCAAAATTAGGACTATAGAACATTCAGGAACTTGGATTTGTAAAGGGATCGGCTGCTGGTATGACCGAACATACAATAATAAGTAAACTAATGTTAAAAATAAATTTTAAATACACATAATAAAATATTCTATACCTTCCTGGGTTATAAAATAAATATAGTTGATCCAATAATTTTTAAGTGAATATGAAATTCCCTTCTACATATTTAGTTTCAACATCCCTGCAGAAATTCTGGGAGAGAGGAAAGAGAGTTACAATGTACTTAGAGTTTGTTCAACAGGGTGTGGCCTGGGACAGACTGTGCTGGTCTTTTTCTTGTGGAACCTTTGCTGTATCACCTTTCCCTAGGATATTGCACTGGCTTTTCTCTGTCATCTACACTTCTAATAAAGAGAGAAGGATGAGGCTATAATAAAAGTTCTCCCTTGGAGTAGTCTCTCTAGTTTGTGAGACTTCTCAGATTTAATGAATAAGAAAATATAAATGCTATATTGAAGTTTGATGTATCTCTTCAGCCTATTTCAAGGCTATGCTACTTGTTAGCATATCCTTCACATGCCATTAAACTTTTTGGGTTTCGGAGGACACCCAACATGACTTTCCGGGAAGCATCTTCTATCTGTCCTTGAACACGCTTCAACTTCTTTGTGTAGTGGGGCAAACTGAACTTCTATATGGGCACATGTTTTCATTAGGCTTCTTCCCATGACAGAGATGTTTCGTGTTACACTACATTTGTTGACTGTTAAAGTAAGGCAGTACATTTAACTATCAACACAGATAGCTATTCTTGCTAAGAACTATATTTTGAACTCAGTGTCTGAGAATATGTACAAAAAACTTAGTTGAGAGATACAATTCATATATCCATGAACATTTATTGCACACGTATTTTGTATGCAGTGAATCCTCCAGATACCATTCTGTGCATTGGCAAGATAAGATTGAACAATTTGGACAGGATCTCTGGCTTCACAGAGCTAACATTCTACTAGAGATACAGTTTTCATACAGAAGCAACATGCATGGTGGGCTAAGAGCTTGAATTCTGAAGTTGTACCTGAATTTAAATCCTACTTCAAGCACATTTTAGATGTGTGATCTTGAGCCTCTCTTACATCATTTGTAAAGTGCACATAGCAATACAGATTAATAATCCTTTATCTGAAACTCTTGGGGGCAGATATTTTTCAGAATTCAGAAAAAATTGTATATTTAGAAAGGTAATGTGGTACATATCGGTGTAATATTTAACAACCTAAGTAGGTCTGCAAAAGCATTTTTTTTTTTTTTTTTTTTGCAAAGAAACACATGAATAGTCACTCTCAGTGGAATAAGAAGAGATTATAAACAGTCTCACCTCAGTTCAGGTCAACAGTATTTGACAATAAAAGGGTTTTAATGTCAAACTTCTGAAAAAAACAAACAGCAACAATAAAAGCAGCCACTGGTTTTCATCATGTTTTTGGATTTCAGGATTATAGCTAAGTGTTTATGGATATGTAGCACTTGAAGAAGACAACTTATGTCTTGTCAGCACAGATTCTGGCATGTGGTGGGTTCTTACTTGTTATTAATATCAGAATTGGCCTGGCTATTTCTTTAGAAAGTAAAATAATTATTATTGACTCAACCATACCAGCAGATATTTATGTACGTGAACTGCTTTCATTTGACACCTTACTTCTCCTCAAATTATTTTTACAGAATGGACCTTTAGAATTTTTATGTGGAAATATTATGAAACGGAGGCTTGTGAGACTGACTATATTATTTGCTTCATATTTACCTTAATGTTATAGATTATGTGTCTTTCTGTGCAATGACTGGTAGAAATCTTACAAAATAGAGATCAATCTCCAGCAAAATACAAGGCTTCACTGTATAAACTAAATATGTTACTTTATTCTTAACGTTCTTTCATTTCCTACAATATTTAACCACCTTTTCCTGATTTTTAATAAATTCACTTTTTAAACTTTTCACCTGTATTTTCATATGCTGTCTCAAGCCTCTCTGTATCAAGACATAAAGAATAAATTTGTGCATTATATATAGATATATATGCATGTGTGTGTGTGTGTGTGTGTGTGTGTGTGTATATATATATATATATATATATGAAATATACCCACAGTGTATTTCTTTTTTTTGTTTTTTTGTTTTTGAGACGGAGTCTCGCTCTGTCGCCCAGGCTGGAGTGCAGTGGCGCGATCTCAGCTCACTGCAAGCTCCGCCTCCCGGGTTCACGCCATTCTCCTGCCTCAGCTTCCCGAGTAGCTGGGACTACAGGCGCCCGCCACCACGCCCGGCTAATTTTTTGTATTTTTAGTAGATACGGGGTTTCACTGTGTTAGCCAGGATGGTCTCTATCTCTTGACCTTGTGATCCGCCCGCCTCGGCCTCCCAAAGTGCTGGGATTACAGGCCACAGAGTGTATTTCTTCTTTTTCTATCTCCTTCATATTTTCAGATCCTAGACTAATCCAATAACCATCATCTATTTACTATACATTTTTATTTTCAATTTTAATTGCAATTATATATCGTGTTTTTTGTGCCTGTGTGTGTGTGTGTGTGTGGTGTGTGTGTTCAATTGGCTCTTGTGAGTTAGCCTAGAAAAGTAATCATGGTTTATACTCTGATTTCTATCAAGAAGTAAGCTACATGTTTCCATTACAGTTCCATATTGACATAAAAACTGTTTCTAAATTGGAAACCAAGCTATGTGCCAACTTATTTATTGCATATTTTTAAAGAATATTTGTGTTTCACTAGTAAGTCACTTTACTTCTTTGCAATACACATTGTAAAAATCTTTGAATATTTTTTTTTTCTGAATCACCTATTCCTAGAAGTGTGGATACAAAGGAAAGAAAAATAAGAGGACAACATTTATATTTTTCTCTAGAAAACAATGTTTTCTACAATATTGATTTGTAATTTTTATATTTTTCCCTCTTCTTTAACCTCTAAGGTTTTCATTTATCATGTAAAATAATTTTAAAATTAGAAACAAATCATTTTATATGAGTTTAGCACATCTCATTTTTTCCTACTTTCACATTAATTCATTACACTCAAATTTCATTCACTGAGAATTTGTAATAAAAATAACTATTCATCCCTGCCATACTACTTAGCATTTCTATTAGCCCATCCACATACCCTGTTGCACTTTACAAGGCAGAAACTCTGAATTGCTTACAGGTCACCAAGCACACCCTGGCATTTCAGACTTTTATCTGTTTACACCTGTTTTTCCTCTGCCTGTAGCAAATGTCTTCTTCTCCTTTGTTCACTAGAACACATCCTATGTGACCTCCACATCACAAATCAGAGGTCATTGCTTCCAGAAATTTTCTACTGACAGTCCAAGGGAGCATTCCTTTGTGTTACTTCTAGTGTTCCTCTGTATTTCTCTTTACCAGATACATGTGTGCATATTTGTGTTTATTACATTGTACTGTACTAAATTTCAGTGAGTTTCCTTTTTAGTATTTGTATAAATTTAAGGGCTACAAGTGCAGTTTTATTACATGGATATATTGCATAGTAGTGAAGTCTGGGCTTTCAGTGTAACCATCACCCAAATATTACCCATTAAACAATTTTTCATCCCTCATCCCCTCCCATCCTTAGTGAGTTTCTTGATAGGAGGCATGTAGCTTTTTCATTGCTCTACCCTTACCCAGTCATAGCATTTCCTATATTTTCATTGATTGTATACAGGCTTAAAATAAATTAGGTTGAAATTAAACTATGTATGTTAGTTTTTTTTAAAAATGATCCATTTCATAGAAGGACTTAAATAGTAGGCCAATACCCATTGGTAATGTGAGTGATGAAGAAGGTGGAAGAAGAATATTAGCAGTTTAGATTTACACCTTGAGTTTGAGTGCCAGTTAACTATCCAAGTCAGTAGTAAGATTAGATTGTGGGCCACTGGAGAAAGATTACACATAAGGAGAAAATCAAAAGGAAGAAAGGTGTCCAAAGTGATAAACTTGCAGCAATACCTACATCTTAAGAAATTCCATCATTTAATGAGTTTACATATGGAAAGTGTTTGGGAAGGATTCCAAAAGGATGGGATGAGAAATGCTGCAGGAAACACGGGAGAAGTTGTAATTCTGTAAAATGAAAGGGAAAGGGAATCTCAAAAAGAAATGACTGTTTATTGTGTTAAATATATGCATCTGGGAGACATTCTTGATGTTAGTGATAGTAATTTCACTGCTGTAATGTGAAGAAATTTTAGTATTTTGAAAGATAAATGGATTTTAAGAAAAGAGAGATGATCCCTACAAATTTTGAAGAGGAACACACTAGATTGTGCTAGAGAAGGATATGGGGTTGACAGAGGATTTTTTTAAATGTAGGAACAACTTAAAGAATATTACTTTAGATAAATAGTTTAGAATGAGGTTAACATAAAAGAACAAAAGGAAATATTGAAAATAACAAAATGGGAATAATATATTGTTTGGTAAGTAGAAGTTGCAGCTTTGCACTGACAATGGTGATACATAATAAAGTCTTGGCATCATAAGTAAGTTTGTAGACTGGAAATGATTAGCTTGAGAATCTTGCTGCACCTTGTATCTTACTGTCTGAGACAATAGCTAGTGGGAAGCTAACAATTTATTAGAATGGTAAAAGTTAAAAGCATCTTCTCTTACAGTGAGAAGAGAAAACATACTAGAGATATATAGAAAGATGTTCAGATAGCCGTGCATCTTCAAAAATGAGGCTGGATGCACAGAATCTGTGGGCACACAAATCTGCAAAACTTTCGTGATTGTCTCCAGTGGCCCTCAGTAGACTGGCTATGGAAACAAGGAGAATACATGGTGATATTAATGCAAGTTTGGAGTTTTCATAATTAATATTACATAAACAAAAAGAGAAGCAATAGAGTTAACATTTTTCAGATGATAGTCAAAGGGATGGAACACTAAATTGAATCTAAATTTGATTTAGGAGAGAAAGCAAAAAGGAGTCATTTATTCTGGCTGATGGTGCCATTGACAGTGATGAGCTATCCTAGTAAATGGTACAAAGGCAAACATATGGTTGTGGACAGTGAGCCTAGAAAGTAACACCTCCTTTTAAATACTGTGATGTTGCCAGCAGTCATTTTCATCATAAATTCTATAGAATAACATGTGGATGCTGCATGAAGGTTTTTTTATATTTAGTTTCTACTGGGACTATGTTAGTCTAACATTAAATTTATTGTTTATTATAGGGTTAGATCCATTTATACAGCAGAAGACCTCACTAAGTGGTATATTTTCCAATAAAAACTAAAACCTGAATTTAAAATCTTAGGAGCTGATTATATTGCAGTGGAAATTTGTCTCGCTTCATTATTCCATGAAAGTTTTCATTCATGTTGGTATCTAGATATACTAGACAAGATGTTACGGTAGTCAGAGCATGCTTTTCACCCTGCCTTATTATTATTATTTTGTTTTTGAAAAAGAACAAGATAAATTGTCATCTTAAACCCATAACATTAAGTATTTCATAACTTCTTAAAAATAAAAAGCAAATTTTATCTTGTAAAATTTTCATCTAATATTTTATTTTCATGAATAATTACTGATATATCTTAACAGAAATTGTTGATAATATTAGCAATAATTCATATTCTTACCATAATTTACCACTGACAGATTACTTTTATATGTATTATCTTCTGTAGAGATAATTACATTAAACTCTACAACAAATATAGATTTTTAAAATTTTGTTTATTTTTATTATTATTATTTTAATAGTTTTGGGAGAACAGGTGGTGTTTGGTTGCATGGAAAAGTTCTTTAGTGGTGGTTTCTGAGATTTTGGTGCACTGATTACCCAAGCAGTGTACACTGTACCTGTGTAGTCTTTTATTCCTCACCCTCCTCCCACAGTTCCTCCCAAGTACCCAAAGACCATTATATCATTCTTTAGGTTTAGCATCCTCATACCTTAGCTCTTGCTTATAAGTGAGAACATATGATGTTTGGTTTTCCATTTCTGAGTTACTTCACTTAGAATAATGGTCTCCAGCTCCATCCAGGGTGCTGCAAATGTCACTATTTCATTCCATTTTATGGCTGAGTAGTATTCCATGGCGTGTGTATGTGTGTGTGCATGCGCATGTATGTGTGTGTGTGTGTGTGTGTGTATGTGTGTATATATATATATATATATATATATATATATATATATATATCACATTTTCTTTATTCACTCATTGGTTGATGGTCATAGTCTGGTTTCATATCTTTGCAATCGTGAATTGTGCTGCTGTAAACATGCATGTGCAAGTGTCTTTTTCATATAGTGACTTCTTTTCCTCCAGGTAGATACTCAGTCGTGGGCTTGCTGGATCAAATGATAGTTCTACTTTTAGTTCTTTAAGGAATCTCCATACAGTTTTCCATGGTGGTTGTACTAGTTTACATTCCCACCAGCAGTTTAAAAGTGTTCTCTTTTCACCACATCCACGCCAATATCTGTTTATTTTTTAATTTTTACTTATGGCCATTCTTGCAGGAAAAAGTTGGTATCTCATTGCGGTTTTAATTTACATTTTCCTGATGATTAGTGAGGAACAATTTTTTTCATATGTTTGTTGGCTATTTGTATATCTTCTTTTGAGAATCATCTGCTCATGTCATTTTCCCACTTTTTGATGGGATTATTTAGTTTTTCTTGCTGATTTGTTTGAGTTTCTTGTAGATTCTGGATATTCGTCCTTTGTCGGATGCATAGTTTGCAAATATTTTCTCCCACTCTGTGGGTTGTCTGTTTATTCTGCTAATTATTTCTTTTGCTGTACAGAAACTTTTTAGTTGATTAGGTCCCCCGAATTTATCTTTGTTTCTGCTGCGTTGGCTTTTGGATTCTTGGTCATGAGCTCTTTGCCTAAGCCAATGTCTAGAAGAGCTTTTCTGATGTTATCTTCTAGAATTTTTAAAATTTCAGGTCTTAGATTTAAGTTTGTGATCCATATTGAGTTTATTTATGTATAAGTTGAGAAATGAGGATCCAGCTCTATTCTCCTACATGTGGTTTGTCAATTATCCCAGCATCATTTGTTGAATAGGGTGTCCTTTTGCCACTTCATGTTTTTGTTTGCTTTGTTGAAGGTCAGTTGGCTGTAAATATTTGGCTTTATTTCTGCGTTCTCCATTCTGTTCCATTGGTCTAGGTGCCTATTTTTATACCAGTACCATGCTGTTTTGGTAACTATAGCTTGTAGTATAGTTTGACGTTGGGTAATGTGATGCCTCTGGATTTGTTCTTTTTGCTTAGTCTTGCTTTAGCTATGCATGGTATTTTTTGGCTGCATATAAATTTTAGGATTTTTTTTCTAGTTTTCTGAGGAATTATTATTGTATTTTAATGGGAATTACATTGAATTTGTAGTTTCCTTTTGGCAATATAGTCATTTTTACAATAGTGATTCTACCCATCCATGAGCATGAGATGTTTTCATTTGTGTCGTCTATGACTTCTTTCATCAGTGTTTTCAAATATATGTAATTTTAATGCTCAAAGAAGGTGCAAAAATAATTGTCTGCAAGTTTATATTGGCAATGTAATAGTTAATAAAAATAAATTTTTGTTTTTGAAAATGGGAAAATAATACACAATAATCATGCTTCCATAAAGAACACATTTCAGATTTGACTTTTAAAGTCCTAGGTATAAATATAAGTAACGGAGAATTTAGAAGGGCTATGAAAATAAAATGAGAGCAAAATACTCTGAAAAGTAATCCCAAAGACAATTGTTATGGTTTGACTATGTTCCCCAAAATTCATGTGTTGGAAACTTAATTCTCAGTGCAACAGTGTTGTGAGATGAGGTCTTGAAGATGTGATTAGCTCATAAGGCTCATAAGGATTCAGATAGGGAAAATATAAAGCAATTACCCCCTGAGGAACTAACGCTCCAGTAGAGTAATTAATTGTAACAAAAAGGTAAAGGCACAATATCATCGCTATTCAACATTTTTAAAAAGTACCAGGTATGTACTAAGCACTATATATAATAGTGTTCAGAAATTATCATATTACATGCCATTGTGGAGGTTGCAGTATAATGTGAGGAGGTGGATGTTAATCAAATGATTAACAAAAAATATAAAATCATAATAGTTATTGATATGGTTTGGCTCTGTGTCCCCACCCAGATCTCACCTTGAATTGTAATAATTCCCACATGTCATGGGACGGACCCAGTAGGAAGTAATTGAATCATGAGGGCAAGCCTTTCCCATGCTGTTCTCGTGGTAGTGAATAAGTCTCATGCGATCTGACGGTTTTATAAATGGGATTTCCCCTGTGCAGGCTCTGTTGCCTGCCACTATGTAAGATGTGACTTTGCTCATCCTTTGCCTTCTGCCATGATTGTGAGGACTCCCCAGCCATGTGGAACTATGAGTCCATTAAACCTCTTTTATAAATTACTCAGTCGTGTGTATGTTTTTATTAGCAGTGTGAGAAGAGACTAATACAGTTATACATGAAGAAAAGGATCAATACATGGAGCTACTATGTTGTACCATGGAAGAGTCTGAGGTAGATTTGGTGTTCATACATGCTTCTCTGAAGAAGCAGTGACTGAGTTGAAATCTGAAGAATGAGTATAAATGAGAGCAATGAGCATGTCCCCACACTCTATGGCTGGAATGGGTTTGGTGAATCCAGTGAGCTGGGAGATGGCCAAAATGGCTCATGGAAAGACTGAAATGGAATACACTGCAAAATGAGGCTGAGTGGCAGATAAGGAGCAGACCATTGAAGACCTTAGCTCTGTAAAGGGAACAAACACCAAGCGTCAAGACAAGGATGGGGTGGGAGTGGTGGAATTGTGACCTGATTGCATTTGGGATTTTAAAATGTTACACTGGCTGTAGTGTAGAGGAAAGATTAGAGAGGGCTAATGGTGATAGAAGTAGATGAGTGGGCAAGGACAAGATAATGGTGGCATGGACAGAAAGAATTGGAGGCAGATCAGAGATTTAAATATGAGACAAAGTAGAGATGAATTGCTAACAAATGAGTAAAAAGATAGAGGCGGGAAAGATGTCAAGGACAAAATCTAGGTTTCTGGCTAGCTTAATTAAATGATAATGATATCATTCATCAAGTTTGGGTCTCCTCCTTCCACACCCCCCTAAAAAGGACATTAGGTTAATGTTTGTTTAGATACCATAAATGACATGTTTAGTAGGTCCTGTTAGTAAGAAATCTCCATTTCTCTGGCCTCATATTTCTATAGAGAAGAGCTTCAAAAAATAATAATAATAACATGTTGGCCTTTATTTTTACTTCTTACTCAGTGCTCTCCAGTGAAGATGGAAAAATTATCTGGTTAATAATTTGGAGGTTAATGTTGTACTCATATCTCTCTCCCTCTCTTTCCTTTCTCTCGTCTCTTTCTTTTGAAGGTTTGGGGTATTTCTACATATTTCCAGAAAGCTTAAAAGCTTAATTTGCCTCTGCTATAGTGGGATAGATTTTGAATTATCCTTCTTGCTTGTTAAAATGTAGACAAGTTTGTCATTTTCAGGTAGAGTATGTTGAAAGCTCATTTTGGTCACAGAGATAAACTGTACTCTAATCAGTCTACCAGTAATAAAGCTTACACTTCAGTCTTCCATTTATCTTTCTCCTGTGACTGTCTCTTAATTGGCTTTTAACTTATGAGGGAAAGGGAATGTGATTTAAACCTCCTAAAACTCTTACATGTAGCTCAGGAAATGAGTAATCTGCCTCTAGAAGTAATTGAAGCTGTGGATATGGATGAGACTGCCTTGGGATAGAATCGAGAGGTAGGTGAATAGCCTAAGACTGAGCATCTAATCACAACTGAGTGTCAGTTCTGGTAAATTAAGATGACGGATAAAATACGTCAAATAAATTTAAACAACATGAACATTATATTTGTGATTTTAGAAAATGGTAAGAAGCCAGATTGAAGTCATATCTCGTGTTTCTGGTCTTGTTAGGTGATTGGGCAGGTTCAAGTGGGAAATAACTTTTTGGAAGAGATATTTCTTTAACTGCTTCTTAAAGTTGAGTAAAAGTTAGAAAAGGGAAGAGAATGAGCAAAGCTTGAGAGGAAAAAGATAGCAGGAAATTTCAAAATCACCTTCTTCCTTCCTTTTTACCTTAAAAACCCATCTCTAAGAACTAACACTTATTTAGGTGCTGTAACTTGAGGAAAAAATGATTCACTAGAAAAATTCTAGGACATTTATTTCAGTGGTTATTTATATAGTCAATAGTAATCATCAGAAAATATACTCTGAAAATTGGAAAATATACCTATTTTATTTACTTAAATATTTCAAATTTTACGCTGTTGTTCTCTGAAAATATAAAAATGAAATTTCATCAAAGTTTCTTAGTCATTATTATAAAGTATGATATTTTCAGCATGAATTAGAACAAATATATAGTCTTGACATATAGCTTATTATTGGGGATTATAGAGTTGTTTGCAGTGAAGGGATTTTAGCACTTCTTTTAAAAAATTGGTTTCACAAAATGTATCACTGGAAAATTTATTTCCCTTTGGAGAATTCTGCTGTGACTACAAATTCACTCTTGTCAATTCTTTGCTATAGCTTTGCTAGAGAGCATGTATAATACTAAACTATAATATAAACTTAATTGGATTGATCCATTTATGTATTTATTGCATTTGTCTGGAAATTATTACCATAAACTTTTAAATAGTAAGTTTTAACACCTAATATGGTGTTATGATGCACATAGAAACTATTTTTAAATTTATAGAATCAAATAACTTGATTACAATTTTATGATTATCCTATCTAAGCTCCAGCCTAGTACAGGAGTCTGTTTATCACTGAAGACCATTTATTAGCATATTTTAAATATAATAAAAGGGAGAGCACATGCTTGTGTTATAAGACAAATCATATTTTTGTTGTTTACAAGGTTTGTTTTCATATTTGATTTGTCTTCTCCTAATTTCAATCCCTAGTCTGTCCTTCACATAATACATCAATACAAAAATCAATTACCAATTTCAAATGATAACTTTTCAAATAGATGAAGCAGACATGGACATCACCCACACTGAAATGTTTTTTGTTTTGTTTTGTTTTGTTTGAGACAGAGTGTCTCTCTGTAGCCCAGGCTGGAGTGTAGTGGTGTGATCTCAGCTCACTGCAACATCCACCTTCTGGGTTCAAGTGATTCTTATGCCTCAGCATCCTGAGTAGCTGGGATTACAGGCACGTGCCATCATGCCCAGCTAATTTTTGTATTTTCAGAAGAGATAGTGTTTTCACGTGTTGTCCAGGCTGATCTCAAACTCCTAGCCTCAAGTGATCTGCCTGCCTCAGCTTCCAAAAGTTCTGGGATTATAGGCATGAGCCAAGCTGCCTGGCCCTCACACTGAAGTTTTTTTTAATGTAAATTCTCTGTCAGTTACTACACAACTTAAAAGGTAAATGAGAACAGTTCTTTTTGTTTTTTTCAGTTCCATCATTTACTTTTTCATATGGCTAGTTTCCAAATGCTGCACCTTTTACATGATCAGCTCTGAGAGCTTTATCTTTTATTAATTTTATTTATATTTATTAATCATGGTTATTTAAATTATTTGTTTGTTGAGTGCTCTGTATGTGTTAAGATCTGTACGGACTGTTTTATATTTATTAATTTAGTAAATACCTGCTGAGTTCATTCTATATATCTGGTACTTGAATTCAGTACAGTGGAACAATGGATGTGTTATAGGAATTAGACCTTATACAATTGTGGGAGGAGCTGAGGAAATACAGATGGAAAAAGGAGAAAGTTTGAGAAAAGATCACCAGTCAGTCTTCCCAAAGCACTGTCACCTTTGGCATGAGAATGCTGAGAACCCAAGCACATTTGGTTGCTGAAGTGGGACTGCAAATGAAAGTTTGTAGAAAAGTCAGTTAGAAGCTTTTGACCCTGTAAGATCTATCTGCTGTAGGCCCACTGCTAAGAGTCTGGTAGTGGGTCCAAGGCTGCTGTTATTCAAACAGGACTAATAGATGAGAATAAGAATTAGACACAAAGCAGAAGAGAGTAAAAACAAGCTAGAGTTTGCTGGGCGCTCTGTTTCAGTCACTCTCTGTGTCTGATGTAGGTTTAGAGAGTAATGCCCACTGCTTCACTTTCCTATCCCAAATCTTGCACAAGTTCCTTTTCTGTTCAACTCTAATCCAGAACTATACAAAGAAAAGAACACTGGGTAGTATAGTTAATAGCTTAACTATTAGAGAGCCAATAGTTCAAATCTGCAAGGGATGCTTGGGATTCAGTGGTGAAAAGACAGAAAAAGTTCCTCGCTTCTTGCAGTTACATTCTAGTGGTAGAGTCAGAAAATAATAAATATTTTATTTAATGTCAAGCAGTGGAAGTTCAGGAAAAATAATTAAGCAGAGAAAGGAATGGAGAATGATGCCTTGGAGCAGCATGAGTGGAGGATGAGATGAGGCTTCCCTTTTTGAGTAAGGTGGATGAGGAAGACTCATCTAAGGAAATGCAAATGAGCC
This sequence comes from Homo sapiens, assembly GCF_000001405.40. Taxonomy (NCBI): domain Eukaryota; kingdom Metazoa; phylum Chordata; class Mammalia; order Primates; family Hominidae; genus Homo; species Homo sapiens. Next base: position 92,422,124 of record NC_000004.12, read on the forward strand.
TTAGAGACCTCAGTGATGTAATGTGAATCTTTCAGCTACCTAAAACAGATCAGTACTGGCAGAGGGTAGGCAGCAGGTGGGAAAAAGCTTGGTGATTTTTGGAAGAGCCGGGTAGTGTGTCTAAAGTTGAATGAGTGAAATGGAGAGTTCTAGGAGCAGATTTAGAGACCTTTCCAGGGATTCGTTCAAAGAGAACATTATAGGCATGAAATGAGTTTGGACAGTGTATGATAGGAGTCCACTGGAGAGTTTTAAGCAGAGATGAGACAAGTTTGAATTTACATTTTATTTTATTTTATTTTTGTGGGAGACCAGAGTTTTATTATTACTCAAATCAGTCTCCCCAAGCATTCAGGAATCAGAGATTTTAAGGACAACTTGGTGGGGAAGGGGAAGCCAGTGAGCCAGCGGTGTTAATTAGTTAGGTAGGAGATGAAATCACAGGGAATTGAAGCTGTCCTCTTGTGTTGAGTCTGTTCCTGGGTGGGGGCCACAAGATCAGAGGAGCCAGTTAACCCATCTGGGTGGTGCCAGCTAATCCATCAAGTGCAAGGTCTGCAAAATATCTCAAGCACTGATCTAGCAAGCAGTTCAGGGAGGGTCAGAATCTTGTAGCCTCCAGCTGCATTACTCCTAAACCATAATTTCTAATCTTGTGGCTAATTTGTTAGTCCCGCAAAAGCAGTCTAGTCCCCAGGCAAGAAAGAGATTTGTTTTGGGAAAGAACTGTTACCATCTTTGTTTTAAACTATAAACTAAGTTCCCCCCAAAGTTAGTTCAGCATACGCCCAGGAATGAACAAGGACAGCTTGGAGAACAAGATAGAGCCTGTTAGGTTAGATCTCTTTTACTGTCTCAGTCATAATTTTGCAAAGGCAGTTTCAATCCCTCCCTTTGGGTTTTAAAACACCTCAGTCTTATGGTGTAGGCTATGAAGATGGGACAAATCCTGCCATCTTTGTAGAGAGTAGATTCTAGCGAGCCAACGCGAGAAAAATGGAGTCTACATGAAAAATGATAGCTCAAACTGGGAATCTAGCTGATGTGGTAGAAAGAAATATATCCTGAATCTACCTTGTAGGTAGAGCTATATAGTAAGACTAGCTAATAGACCATTGTTAAAAAAGCAAATGGAGTTAAGGATCATCCTAATTTTTTTAGCAAATAAGTGAGTTTTGGCAGTATTTGCAGAGATGAGTAAGAATGGAACACCAGTGAGTTTAGGAGATAAATTATTTTCTATTAGAAGTTAGAGATTTTGTGTTGATTAGGCAGTTACAAAGAAAGGAATTGAGGTGAAGCGAGGAGAGATGGATATTGAGGTGTACATTTTGTAGTTATTCAAGTCCATAATGTGTTTAGGGACACGATACTAGAAAATCAGTGGGGAAGATGGTATAGAGTTTAAAAAGTGAAGAGAAGTGATATTCTTGTGGCAAAGATTGTGTACAACTTAATAAGAGAAGTGTTGTTACATTCTTATGGCATATGCTTACCTGGAGGGAGTAATGCTTCTTATGCATAACCTGATTTATATCCTATTTTCCTTCACAACAGATTTGAGCTGATGTTCAATAATACTTTTGGCACTCCAGAATAAAATGCAAACAGAGGGTAGTTGGGTGCAAGAGAGAACCAGGGTAGTTAAATTTTGTAGCCGAAAGTAAGTTAGCACAGGTGTATTAAAAAGAAATGATGATGAAGATGAGCTGCAGATTTTTTTGCAGTGTCCAAAACAAGAGGAGCAACACAATTAGTCAAATTGTTAGAAGATTTATAATATTCATAAATTAAAAAATAAAAAAGAGAAATGGAAAAGGAAGAATTGCTCTGAAAATATTTGCGAAGGCTCTGGGCTTCTATGCTCTTCAAGTAGTGTTAAACCAATTTCCTTTGAATTGTCTGAGATGATATTACATAGTATGGCAAGTGATATTTGGAATTCTTGTGACATTATGTTACTGAAATGAAATTCAATAAAAACAGTCCTACAGGGACCCAAGCAGTTTTATACAAGTTCTTAATTCTCTAGTAGTCTGTCTTGATCCAAGATAAACTTCATTTATTTCAGGTAATCTTCCACAAAATTCTCTCAACTAGGAGTTTGATAATTATTGCAAAGGAAAGAGTTATTCTTTCTTCAAAGGACCTGTACTTCTTTCTCTTCCTGTTCATATGTGGGAAACATATGATACCATGTATTATATTTTTCTATATTCCTTGGGATGTTAAACTTACAACTGGACAATACTCCAAGTTCCCTGTGATCGTAGTTGATATGACAGGATGACCAACTCCTTTGGATAAAATAAATTGGATTTTTAAATTAAGTTCCAAACTTTTGGGAGTGAGAAATATTTTGGTAGTCAAGAAATGCTCATGATGATGACTACAGTGATAAACTGGAAGTAATATTTTATGAACAATGACACATAAGCCACCAACATGTGGTAGTTAGGAATAACTATAAAACATCTATAAAAGAACTAAAATTTACAAAACCCTCAGTGTAATGAATATGAGAAATAAAAATCTCAACATCAATAAGTGAGTCAATTTAACAATATTTCTCACTATTTCTATAGGGTAATAATAGGCTTTTGAACTGAAAAAAAAAAACCACAAGGACAAGCTTCTAGTTTCTTCTGATATTTCAATAAAAATTGTCTATTTACAACAGCAGTCCTAACAACAAAAAATACTACTTTTTATACTCCTCTGATTAAACAAAAATTCAAAAGTTGCTTGTAACCAGAGGAGCTAATAATCATTATTAAGTATTTACTAGGATAAAATAATTTAATGAATGGAAAAAACATAGTTCTCATGACTATCTAAATTATATTTCAAATGTTAAAATTAAGTCTTGTATTGTTATTAAACATTTTTAAGGCAGTTAAATTTTTAATTGTGTTGAATTCAGCAGAATCTTTTAGGTTATTATAATAATTATAAGATGAATTTTCTTGACTACCAAGCCAAAAGAATTATTTCAAATAGTTTAAATACAATTTTCTGTAGAAAGAGAAGTAAGGAAGATGATTTTTTTCCACATGAGTATCATTATTAAGTAGACGACAGCAAATACAACCAAGAAAATCCATCTTTGAAGTGTGCTAAAGGGTGGCTCGTTTAGATATGGCAATTAATCACTGCATTATTTATAGTACTTTAGGAACAGCTCATACTACATTAATCAGGGATAACTTCTGCTTAATTAACAAGACTGCCAAAAAATGTCAAACACAAGCACAAAAACACAATGGAATAAAAACAAGAAAACAAGTGTTAGCTAGCGACTGATCACCACAAAGTGAAATTTTAACTTGCATCACAATATTTTACTTGCTTGAACTTTTATACTTTAGCTGGATATTTCATGAAACGATGATTTCTTCTCAAGGTTGAAAAGGGTGCTGTTTAGGACACATAGTAGCAAAATAAGGTAATCCATATTATATAGTGTTTTACTTCTGACCACCTCTTCTGTAGTATGTTTGTGTAGCTTATTCTGTCTAGGCAACTGCCTACTTTCCCACATGGATTGGGCAGGCATTACTGAAGTGCCAAAATAGACTGTAGTTAGATTGCCTAGTTTAAATTCTGGCACCATTATGTCCCAGCTGTGTGATTTAAGATAAAGTAATCAACTTCTCTGTACCTTCATTTAATAATTTATGAAAGAGATGAAAAATGCCAACTAACTTACAAGGTGGTTATGCAAATTAATATATTTAAAGCATTGACCAATCTGTAACTACTCAATATGTATTAGGTGTTATTATTATTTGTATTTTTTAATCAGGAAAATTATCCTCTATCTTCTTTAGCTTTCTATAGCTCTCTCTTCCTTAGCCTCTGAAAGATAACCTAATCCCACCTACTTTCTTTCTCTTTAACATCTCACTTGGACACCTGAGCAACTGCTGTATGCATAGTACAATGCAATGAATACTTTATGATTCAAACACACAGTTCAGGCTTTCTATGGTAACTTGTACTTCATACATCTCTGGCATGTAGTTTTCTCAGATATTTGATCAGTTTCATATGTCCAAAGTTATGTCACATTTAATGAAACTATAACTAATAATAAGACCTTGGGTCATTCTCTGACCACCAATACTGAAATACCTAGAATAACACAAATTCCTAGGACTTCTTGGTCCACGGAATATATGGTAACATGATATACAAAGAACTTTCATGTGATGAGCTAAAGCAGGAAAATGGTATTCAGGGTAGAAAAGGTATATGCTTTGCTTAAGGATGTGATAAATAATGTAACACAGTTGGGAATAACCAATAATTGTAGATGTCTACCTGATCTAGTCTGTCCATTTTAAATGACAGCAGCAATCAGTATTAATGCTAAAACAAGGAATTACAAACATAGTGCAACCTTCAGATACACAGAAATGATAGCTTCATCTAAATCCAGAAGATACTGCTTAAGTGAGGTTCTGTAGATACTCAAGTATATGAAGAGCAACAGTATGAAATGCTTCCCCTTTGGAAATACAATCACAAAGAACAAGAGCAAATATCTTTCCTTTGATTTGTTGAAAAACTGTTTATTATATATTATGTGAAATTATCACATACATTTTTTTCACCTTTTCTTTCCACTGATACAAGCATTTGTTCATGGACCTGAAGGGACCTTCTCTCTCTTTTATTACTATATAAACCCTAGAAATGCAAAAAGCATAAGGTCACCTCCTAGAAGAAACCTTCCTAGATTATCTGACATGAAAATCATATTTAGTAGGTGAGCCATCCAAGGGCTCATGTTTTAAAATGGAGGAGGGTGAGCATACCTATGTGTGTTAGTGTCAGGACACAGGTTTTTGACCAATGGTATCAAAATCACTGGGTTAATGTCATTTCCCTTCAATCTCACCTACTAGGAACTCAGATCACATTGAATTATTAAATAGTGGACTTGAATTCAGGCTTTTATGTGTTTGTTCTATTTTTGGCTTAATGTCTTACTAACTTCCTATACTCTGATCCGGCTCAAAATATCAGAAGGATGCTCCAAATAATACATACATTTTCATTCTTGTATTAGTTAATCTTGTATTCTTTCATATTGGGTTTGGCTTTAGTGGGTTCCAATTATGGGACCTTATCAGTATTTAGACGACATTCTTGATCTATTATGTTCCCTAAAACGTATGACAAATATATTTTGATGAATGAATGAATGAATAAATGAAGGGGTTGGGATAAACAGCCCCATGAAAATGAAAAAGATAGCATACAAACATAGGTTTGTTGAGTTATGGACTAAATTGCAACCCACATTATTGATAAAAAACTGTTTTCTTGTTGTTAAATGCTGTATTTTCAGTCCATCTCAGATGTTATATAGAAAAATATACTAGGAAAAGCTAGTACAATGAATGGTCCCTAGACCTTCTATTTTGCCTTATTATAATTGTAGATGGAAAATTCAATTTTTAAGAAAATGTAAATAAAGAGATCATGATAAGGAGATGACTTTTTAAAAGGTAGCAACTAGAACATTTTATCAAAATAGCAACAAAATGTTAACAAATAGAGCGAATAGACCAAGTTATCTTGGTTTCAGTTGGTTAAGTTTAATTAAATGAATATAATAAGCCCAACACAGTACAAAGTTTTATTGTAAATAAGTTTTATAGATTTTCTTATCTTAATGAATGCAAAGTTTTTGTTGTGTTTTCTACTCTAATTGAAAAATAGAAAATATTCGAAAGACTTACCAAAAATCAAGCTATTGCTAGGGAAACAATCTACTCTGTGCTTCTTTGGAGATTAGAATTATTTTGTTTTCAATATTTGATTAATGCTAATAAAAATAATAGTTTTGGGCCAGGCACGGTGGCTCATGCCTGTAATCCCAGCACTTTGGGAGGCTGAGGCGGGCGGATCATGAGGTCAGGAGATCAAGACCATCCTGGCTAACACGGTGAAATCCCGTCTCTACTAAAAATACAAAAAATTAGCCGGGCGTGGTGAGGGGTGCCTGTAGTCCTAGTTACTCAGGAGGCTGAGGCAGGAGAATGGCATGAACCCGGGAGGCGGAGCTTGCAGTGAGCTGAGATCACGCCACTGCACTCCAGCCTGGGCAACAGAACGAGACTCCTCACAAAGTAATAATAATAATAATAATAATAGTTTTGAAAAACATTTTGTTTGGCATTTATTTTTCAAGTTTCTAAAGAATTTACTGGAGGCATTGTAAGAAATTCATCTTTAATTCTTATTCTTTTGTTTTCTTTTTTCTCTCTTAACTTCTGATATTTCCTTCGGTAATCCTGTTACAGTTTCTAAATTTTCAGTAAGGAAAACAAAAGAGAATAGAACTATAACAGGTTTATTTTTTCCTTGTGGACAATTGGTATATTCCCGTATATTCTTTCCCTGTGATATTAAGAAGAGATAGCATTTATCATAATTTTCTTTTTATTGAACATTTTGCTTTGAGTATTAAGTTATAACTATTATGTTTTTTGCTAATAAGAACATGTAAGTAAACTAACTTACATTTTATTTACCATATTTTAGAAATTAAACACATGGATGTCAGAGACATTTTGTGAAGCTAAGACCTACATTTCCTATCTTTTAATGTTTATTTTATTATGCCACTTCCATGATAGTTAAACTAGTATTTTTTATTTTTATGCATGCACAGTAGGTGTGTACATTTTTTTGAAAACATTATGAATTTATTTATATACATGTTCCACAAACATTTTTTTTAAATTATACTTTAAGTTCTGGGATACATGTGCAGAACGTGCAGGTTTGTTACTTAGGTATACATGTGCCATGGTGGTTTGCTGTACCCATCAACCCGTCATATACATTAGCTATTTCTTCTAATGCTATCCCTCCCTTACCTCCACCCCCCGACAGGCCCCAGTGTGTGATATTCCTCTTCCTGTGTCCATGTTCTCATTGTTCAACTCCCACTTATGAATGAGAACATGCTGTGTTTGGTTTTCTGTTCTTGTGTTAATCTGCTGAGAATGAAGGTGTATACATTGATGGGGTGCATGAGATATTTCGATGCAAGCCTACAATGCATAATAAGCACATCAGGGTAAATGCAGTGTCCATTATTTCATTCAAATATCCAATATCCCAGCCTCTTGTAAATATTCTATTTTCTGTCTTCATAAGTTCAATTGTTTTAAGTTTTAGATCTCACATGAGTGAGAACATGTGAACTTTGTCTTTCTGCGCCTGGCTTATTTCACTTAATGTAATGTCCTTTCATTCCATCCATGTCATTGCAAATGACAAGAACTTAATTCTCTTTTATGCCCGAATAGTACCCCATTCTGTATGTGTACTGCATTTTCTTTGTCCTTTCATCTGTTGATGAAGAGCTTAGGTTGCTTCCAAATCTTGGCTATTGTGAATAGTGTTACAATAAATATAAGAGTGCAGATATCTCTTTGATATACTAATTTCCTTTCTTTTGGAAAGGAATCCAGCAGTGAGATTGCTAGATCATATGGTAGTCTATTTTTAGTTTTATGAGGAACCTCTAAATTGCTCTCTATAGTGGCTGTACTAATGTAATTTAGTCCCCAGCAGAAGTGTACAAGCATTCTGTGTTCTCCACACCCTCGCCAGCATTCATTATTGCCTGTCTTTTGGATATAAGCCATTTTAATTGGAGGGAGATGATAGATCATTGTAGTGTTGATTTGCATTTCCTTGATGATCAATGATATGGAGCACCTTTTCATGTACCTGTTTGTTGTTTGTATATCTTCTTTTGAGAAATGTCTATTCAGATCTTTTGCCTAGTTTTTTAAATCAGATTATTAGATTTTTTCCTATAGAGTTGTCTGAACTCCTTATATATCTGGTTATTAATCTCTTGTCAGATTGATAGTTTGCAAATATTTTCTCCCATTGTGTGAGTTGTCTCTTCACTTTTTTGATTGTATCCTTTTCTGTGCAGATGCTTTTTAACTTGATGTGATCAAATTTGTTCATTCTTGCTTTGGTTGTCTGTGCTTGTGGGGTATTACTCAATAAATTTTTGCACAGACCAATGTCGTGGAAAGTTTCCCCCATGTTTTCTTGTGGTAATTTCAGAGGTTGAGGTCTTAGATTTAATCCTTCAATCCATTTTGGTTTTATTTTTGTATGTGGTGAGAGATAGGGGTAGTTTCATTTTTCTGCATATGAATATCTAGTTTTCCCAGCACCATTTATTGAAGAGAATTTCTTTTCTCCAAAGTATATTTTTGGCATCTTTGTTGAAAATGAGTTCACTGTAGATGTATGGATTTGTTTTGGTTCTTGGTTCTCTATTCTGTTCTATTGGTCCATGTGTCTGTTTTTATGCCAGTACCATGCTGTTCCAGTTACAATAGCTCTGTAGTATTATTTAAAGTCAGGTGATGTGATTTTTAAAGTTTTTCTCTTTTTGCTTAGGATAGCTTTAGCTATCCTGTGTCTTGTGATTCTCTATACATTTCAGGATTATTTTTTCTATTTCTCTGATGAATGTCATTGGTATATTGATAGGGATTGCATTGAATATATGGATTAGTTTGGGTAGTATGGACTTTTAAACAATATTGATACTTCTAATCCATGAACATTGAATATCTCCGTTTTTTGTGTCTTCTTCAGTTACTTGCATCAATGTTTTACAGTTTTCCTTGTACAGATCTTTCACTTCTTTGGTTAAGTTTATTCTCTGTTATTTTATTTTATTTGTAGCTGTTGTAAATGGGATTACTTTCTTGATTCCTTTTTCAGATTGTTTGCTGTTGGTATATACATATGCTGCTGAATTTTGTATGTTGACTTTTTTGTCTTGCAACTTTACTGAATTTGTTTATCAGTTCTAATAGTTTTCTTGTGGACTCATTAGGTTTTTCCAAATATGAGATCATATAAGCTGAAAACGAGGATAATTTAACTAATTCCTTAGAATTTGGATGACCCTTTATATATTTCTCTTGTCTGATTGCTCTAGCTAGCACTTCCAGTACAATGTTGAATACAAGTGGTGAAAGTGGGCATCCTTGTCATATTCCAGATCTTAAAGGAAGGGCTTTAGATTTTTCTCATTCAATTTGATACTAGCTGTGGATTTGTCATATATGGCTTGTATTGTATTGCAGTATATTTTATCTATCCCCAGTTTTTTGATGGTTTTTGTCATGAAGGGATGTTGAATTTTATCAAACACTTTTTAGGCATCTATTGAAATGATCATATTGATTTTGCCCTTCATTCTGTTTATATGATGTATCACATCGATTTGCAAATGTTGAATCATCCTTGCATCTCTGGGATAAACCCATTTGGTCATGATAAATGATTTTTTAATATATTGTTGAATTTACTAGTATTTTATTGAGGATTTTTGCATCAGTGTTCAACAGGGATATTGGCCTGTAGTTTTATTTATTTATTGTTTGACGTGTCTTTTTTTTTTTTTTTAATAACAGTGTAATATCCTTCAAACATGAATAAGAAAGACTTTCCAGAAAAAAAGACTTTCCGTCTCTATGTTATCTTGAATTTCATTTAGCTTCCTCAAAACAGCCAGTTTGAATTCTCTGTCTCCCCCAGATTGGTTTCTGATGCCTTATTTAGTTCATTTGGTGAAGTCATGTTTTACTCTTGATGCTCGTGGATGTTCACTGATTTCTGGGCATTGAAGAGTTAGGTATTTATTGTAGTGTTCACAGTTTATGCTTGTTTGTACCCATTCTTCTGGAAAAGGCTTTCCAAATAGTCAAATAGAATTGCATGTTATAATCTAAGTCTTTGGTCATCACTGTAATTGTGTCTGCATTGGGGGAACCCCAAGCCCAGTAATGCTGTGACTCTTGCACACTTGTAGAGATACCACTTTGGTGGTCTTGAATGAAATCCAGGTGAACTGCCTGGTTTACCAGGCGGGGAATCTTGTTCTTTTCCCTTACTTTCCCCTCAACAAGCAGAGTCTCTCTTTTCATGCTGATTTGCCTGGAGCTAGGGGAGGAGTGACACAAGCATCTTTGTGGCCACCACCACTAGGACTGCTCTGGGTCATACCTAAAGCCAACACAGTATTGGGTCTCTCCTAAGGCCCATGGCGACCACTGCCTGGCTACTACTGATGGTCATTTAAGGCCCAAGGGTTCTTTAGTTAGCAGGTGGTGAATCCATGCAGGCTGGTGTCCTTTCCTTCAGGGTAGGGAGTTCCAGCTGGCCCAGGGTGGGTCCAGAAATGCCGTTTGGGGACCAAGGCCTGAGTCACAAACCTTAGGAATCTACTTGGTGCTTTATTCTGCTGCTTCTGAACTGACAGCCAACCTGAAAGACAATGGCTTTCCCACTCTTTCCTCTCCTTTCTTCAAGCAGGAGGAGTCTTTCCTCATGGCCACCACTACTCCAGGCCTGTGGGGTACTACTTGGCTACTGCTGATGTTCACTCAAGGCCCAGTGCTCTTCAGTCAGCTTGTAGTAAACACTGTCAGGCCTGAGTCTCTCTCTTCACTGAAGTGGGCTCCCCTGTGGCACAGTGCAAGTCCAGAAATGCCATTCAGTAGCTAAGGCCTGGAATCAGGAACCCCATGAGCCTGCTTAGTACTCTACACAACTGTGGCTGAGCTGCTACTCAAGCTTCAATATAAAGTCCCCTTTACTCTTCCCTCTTCTTTCCTCAAACAGAAGGAGCCTTTCCCCATAGCCACCGCAGCTGGGAATGTGCTGGGTCACACCTGAAGCCAGCAGGGTACTAGGTCTCCCCCAAGGCCTGCAATGAGTATTGCCTTCATCTGCTGATGTTTACTCAAAGCCCAAGGGCTCTTTATTCAGCTGGTGATGAATCCTTCCAAAAACGGTCCTTCCCTTAGGAGTAGCAGCTTTCCTTTTTGTTCAGGGTGTGTCTAGAAGTATCATCCAGGCGCTGGGACCTGGGATGGGGGCCTCTGGACTCTGCCTGGTGTCCTATTCAAATGTGGCTGAGCTGGTATCCAAGTTCCAAGACGAAATCCTGTTTACTCTCCCCTATCCTCTCTTCAAGTAGAAGGAAGGAGACTCTCCCAGAGCTGCAAGCTGTACTGCATGGGGTTGGGGGAGGGTGACACAAGGACTCCCTCAGTCACCCAAGGCAGTGCCTCACTATGTCATGTACACCTCAAGTCCACTGGCTCTGGGCCCAGCACAGCACTAAGCTGTGCTCAGGAATTGCAGTCCTTGCGGCCTAGACCGCCTTTCAAGTTTATGTAGGTTGCCAGAGTGCTTTAGCCTGCAATGGCGGTGCTTGCCAGAACTTAGGTTCCGACTGCTGGGATGGATGATTCCCCTCTGGCTAGGTCTCATCTAAGTGCTTCCTCTGTGGGTGCCAGCTGAATTTTGCCCTGTGTTGCTTTCTGCTGGAACAGACACACTGAGTTCCAATGCCAAGTCCCACAATCATTGCAAGCACACAGATTCTCTCCCCACCTGCTGCTGGGGAGTTGGGGAGGGGTGGCATTAGCAATTCAAGACTGTCTTTCCACCCCCTTCAGTGCCTCTGTCCTCAATATAATGTTACAACCAGGTACTGTGATTGATCACCTGATTTTTGTATCTTATGGAGGTGCTTTCTTATGTAGATAGGTGTTCCTGTGGGGAGGATGAATACTGAAGGGTTCTATTCAGCCATCTTGCTCTACCTACCTTTCCTAAAATCATATTTTAATTTATCAAATCAGTAATTAGTTTGTCACCTTCCTTAAAAGATAACATACACATATTTAATGAAAATTAAAAGAGAGCAAGCAAGAACAGAAATAAGAATAAATAAAAAAGAAGAACCTAGAATGAGGCCAATAATGCATATCATATACTTTACACAGTGGGATCATGGATTTAACTTTCAGTTTTCTATAAACCCACGTCAAAATTGTTACACAATTCACGATGTCCGTAAATTTAAAACAACCAGTTATTCTTTGAGATAATACGTTGTTCTCAGTTTTCTTCAGTAGTAATATCAGAGTAGAAATTTTCCAAGTGGAGCGGCTATTCCAGACACTGTGTGACATAATACAATTATTCTCAGCAACATCCTTTCAGGCGATTCCACAGTGGTTTTCATGGACTGTTTTTTTTGCGTGTAGTCTCTGATGGCCACACAGCAAAAGATGGTCCAGCCAAAGCAATTTTATAAGTTTGTAGAGTGTAACAGAGGCATTTCCTCACTGACTGGATCAAGGAGTATGTGTATATTTGGGATTTGAAGTAGCTTTTTTATTTCTGAAACAATGTTCTCTTAAATGGCGTTAAACATAACCTAACAATGCATTCGGAATTCTGCTGTTTTCCTTGCGCCTATGGTAAATTCTAATGTCAGTTAAAGTCAGACCACAGGACTTAAAAGATAATCCAAATGAGATTATAGGTGTCATATATTTAGGTCAAAAATAGAGAGCCTAGAAAGGACAACAGCTTAATTTGAAGCTATCCTGACCTCCTTTGGAGGTCAATTAAATAGAATAGAGATAGGGTAATTTTATATTATTTAATTTTCACATATATCAGTTTTGGTGGTTTAAATAACTTCTAATATATTTGAAAAATGAATAGCAAATTAAATAAAGCATTTTCTAATAATACAAATTTTTCCAAAAGGGAAATTAATATAATATATAGATAGATAGATATAATTTGATAGGTCTCTCTGAAGTCAACTGTATTTCCTACTGGATATGTGAGAAAATGCTCATATGAAAATTTAGCACCCCTTAATCCCTATAATGCTGTAGAAAATTCGAATATTTAAAAATAGAAGATTACTTGCTGTCGTTGATCACATGGGAATGGAATTCAACAATTCAAATGTTAGTATTCTTACTTTTATACTATGAAGGCTAAATAGAGTAGGAAAATGCATATTTATATCCAAGATTATTATGTCTTTATGATAGCAGTATATCTTCTATGTTTCATTTACACAGGATTATGTACCTCTTCATTTTTAATATTTACTGAGCCCTATGTAAGTGGGCACCCCATCTGCAGTTTTCCTAGAGGTTTCTTTCTGTTCCTGGGCCACCAAACCGGATTTGTGTTTTCATTATCAGGGTTGATAAGATCCTTGGGACATTTCACAAATTTCCTTATAGGGTATGTAAATTATTTCAACCTGAGTGTAGCTTTGTGATCGAAGGAGTTTATGACAGAAAATAGTAAAATGTAACTATTCAAAACAGAAAGGGTCAAACTTAACTGGAAGCAGTATCCATGGAGATGATGGGGGAGATGTGAAGAAGATAGATGTGCCTTTTACAGTGGAAGAATGTGCTACAAGTGTCATGAGTATTCATCTGTCTAGAACAGAGTAGATAATAGTTCCCTTCTTCATTTATGTCATACCCTACTTGAGTCTGTCTGGAATGAGACCCTGTCTGGAATACAATAAACCAGAGTGAGACTATGTGAATCACAACATACGATGACTGATTGAAGGTGCTAGCATGTTGAGCCTAGAGAAGAAAAGCTTTTCACTATTTTCTACAAGAACTTTCCGAGCTTTCATATAAAATGTACTTTAGGTTTTCCATGCCATTGCAGAGAAGAGTACTAGGGTCCATGGATGAAAGTGTAGTGAGGAAGACTAACTCATTGTGAGGAAGAACTCTCTGTGATTGATTCTGGAATTGTCTGCCTCAAGAAGTGGTTTGTTCTCCATCACTGGAAGTATCTAGACATAGGATATATTTGTCAGGAATATTGCATAGAGAGATTTTATCAGAGTAGCTTGACAGACTACGTTCTTTTTATCCTTGCATTTCCTTTGGACCTTATGATAGATTTTGTTGTTGTATCTGAGATTGTTTGGTATAGTTTTAGAGACTGGAATTGGTGTGCCATGTGAGAAGATAATAGCAGGCATATGAGACTTCACAAGGAAGTTTTGTTGACTAATGGGAATTAAGGATTATATTCCATGTCTTCATAGTGAAAGGAATATTACTAATGGTGGATCCTACATGCTATGAAAGTGTACCGCAAAATTATTCTATTAAATTCTCAGTTTCCTTTAAATTAATAATTCTTGGAGGATAAATAATGGCAATGTGTACAGGTAACCATCATTATTTAAAACACCTTTTGTGTGTGGGCAACAAACATTTAACTAGGTAAATATGAAAACACTAAATGTTGACCTTACCAAAAATTCAGAGAATCCTATATCAATGAATTAAAAATTTCTCAAAATACTAAAGATGTGGCAATAAAAAAAGTCTTGACATTTTCCCATTTTCAATATTAAATTATAATCAATTTGTTATTATAGGGCTAAAGATTTCAGTACACATTTCTGGGCATCTGATTTTATTTTATTTATGAAATGCTACTACTATTTAAATTTTCTCAGCTTTTTTTTGGTTTGTTTACATTTTTGAATTTGTTTAACTGACATAAGTATCATTTTGTTTTTCTAACTGTGAAGTGTACAGATAGTCTTGAACAAGTGCTATCTACTAGAAGATTATTAAGAATAATACATTGCATCATAATGGTTATGGAATCTCTCTTAGGTTGCTTGTGTGTGTGAATGTATATATGTAGCTATAAATGTGTGTTAAATATGTATTAGACATATTAGACTTATTTCTACATACATTTAATATTGAAGACAAAGGAAAACAATCTCCTAAATGCCTGATACTTTCATAATTTATTAAGGAATGATTTATTTATGATATAAGAATAATGTCTGTTGGGCCAATAAGTGGCATATTTATTTAAAATTATGTGTATAATGTTTATCATATGAAATAATAGGTAATGAATGCTTTATGTACTAAATACAATAGTATAAAATATATTAGCAAGTTTGATTTAGCTGTAGATTTGGCTATAACAATTTTTAAACAACTCAAACAAATGTATAAATTCTTAAAATGTGAGTAAATTTTGAAGGACAGATTCTAGTTAATTTATAAGTTATGTGTCTATAATTGACTAAGATGTTCGTATTTGAATCATGTGGGTCTTATACCAATTAAAGAGAAATTTTACTTTAAATTGTAAGATTCTTTAAATTCAAAATAAATATTCGGTGCACTGAACTTGGGCTATGACTAGCATTTCACCGACGAATGATTGGAAAAAAAATGATTCATTTATATTTCTCTAGGAATGCTTATTTTTAGTTTTTGTTTTGAGACAGATTCTCGCCCTGTAGCCCAGCCTGGAGTGCAGTGGCACAATTTTGGCTCATTGCAACCTCCCCCACCCAGGTTCAAGCGATTCTCATGTCTTGGCCTCCCATGAAGCTGGGATTACAGGCATGCCTCAAATAGCCCAGCTAATTTTTGTAGACAGGGTTTTGCCTTGTTCCCCAGGCTGGTCTCAAACTCCTGGCCTCAAGTGATCTGCCTGCCTTGGCCTTCCAAAGTGCTGGGATTACAGGCGTGAGCTACTGGGCCCAGCTGACTGCTTAAAGGACTATTATTAAATGTTTGAGTGGTTCTGGAATCAACGTCTTTAATATGCTGATATTTGATTATTCATATGTCCTTTTCTGTTTAACCTCAAAGGTTTCACTAACAAAATCAATATACAGAAGGTATTACTCAGACATGAAAACACATTTAATACTTCCTTCTTTCTATATTACATCTACATGGCAACTTGTGGATATTGAGGCTCCAATAAATTGGATTGCTTCGGCTCAAGGTAAACCACCACTTTAAGAATTAATACCTAAAGAAAACAAAATTGCTTAGATGTTTTGTTGCTTATTAAAATGATTTATATCTCAGTATTAGTTTCAGATCCATACAGTCTTTCTTTGAACTCTTTTTACTAGCATTTTTTTCTTGAGCCAAGATTACATGCATTTTTTAAAGTTCATTTTTCTGATTTTATTCATTGGACTTTAGCTGGGCTTAGTGTGCCACAATAAATAATCTCCAAGAGTATTTAAGGCTGTTAAGTATTTCCTAAGACTATTTATGACTTTCCATCGTTGGTATTGTAGTTATTTTATACGTACATATGCCAGAAATAACATAAAAATGTATGCCAATAAATTTCATGAATATCTCACCTTTTTTTTTCCTCTTAATATCAGGATACAATTTATCTGCTGGTTTGTGCTTCTAAACACTAAACCAACTATGTCACACAAAGCTTACTTTAAAAAAAGAAAGCAGAGGGACAGTATGATGTATTTGTCATTAAAAGAAAAATAGGCTGCCAGGAATCTCGGAGCACATATACTCAGATGCAATGATTGATTATCATCTTATCGCATATTTTTTTTTGTGCTCCCATAATCCCTGTCCTTTATCTTAATATCTAACACCAATTTTCTTGTCATTTTCTTTGTTTTTATTTAATAGTGTATATGTGATGAGGCATCTAAAGTCAATATTGGCATTATACTGTAAGGATTCTATTAATTTTTATAAAATAATATTCATTTGGCAGTTTACCTTCTGTGTGTGTGTGTGTGTGTGTGTGTGTGTGTTTCTATACTAGTATTTTAGCCATGGGCACATGTTCGTGCTGTTTTTCCCAACTCTTCGTTGGCTACCATGGAATCTATTTAACTAGTGTCTTCTTTTAACTGAAGAATCCCAGTCGTTCTAGGAGAAAGTTGTATTTTTGAATTCTCTTCTTTGATCTGATATAACCCTCAAGAAGAAAATCTGTAGATACATGAATGCTTATTCTTTTACCAATGTCCCCTGTGCATCTATTCATGTAATATCCCATGAAACAATATCAACATTTGGTTTTCTAGATTATTGCCAGCACTGTGAGATAGTTACAGTATATCCTGCCTTCTCTCCAACACTGGTGTCTTGCATTTCATGCGCGTCCCTGTGAAGAGACCACCAAACAGGATTTGTGTGAGCAACATGGCTGTTTATTTCACCTGGGGGCAGGTGGGCTGAGTCCGAAAAGAGAGTCAGCGAAGGGAGATAAGGGTGGGGCCGTTTTACAGGATTTGGGTAGGTAAAGGAAAATTACAGTCAAAGGGGGCTTGTTCTCTGGCGGGCAGGAGTGGGGGTTGCAAGTTGCTCAGTGGGGGTGCTTTTTGAGCCAGGATGAGCCAGGAAAAGGACTTTCACAAGGTAATGTCATCACTTAAGGCAAGGACCGGCCATTTACACTTCTTTTGTGGTGGAATATCATCAGTTAAGGTGGGGCAGGGCATATTCACTTCTTTTGTGATTCTTCAGTTACTTCAGGCCATCTGGGCGTATATGTGCAAGTCACAGGGGTTGCAATGGCTTGGCTTGGGCTCAGAGGCCTGACATTCCCGCCTTCTTATATTAATAAGAAAAATAAAACAAAATAATGTTAAAGTGTTGGGGTGGTGAAAATTTTTAGGGGGTGGTATGGAGAGAGAATGGGCGATGTTTCTCAGGGCTGCTTCAAGCGGGATTAGGGGCGGCGTGGGAACCTAGAGTGGGAGAGATTAAGCTGAAGGGAGGTCTTGTGGTAAGGGGTGATATTGTGGGGATGTAAGAAGAAACATTTGTCGTATAGAATGATTGGTGATGGCCTGGATACGGTTTTGTGCGAATTGAAAAACTAAATGGAATAACAGAAGGAGAAAAACAGGCATAAAAGGTTTAAGAATTGGGATGACTCAGGACATCTGATGAGAGAGTGCCTAAGGAGATTCAGCATAGTCCTGCCAGCAAAGATTATTTATTTACTTCAAGAGTTAAGAGTGGCAGTTTGGGGATAGCACCAGGAGATATCAGCTGTGATGGCTTGGAGAAACAGTGTAAACCGGCAGTGTAAACAAGAGCAGGGCATGTATGAGTAGTTGAGAACGGTGAATAGGAGTATGACTAGACAGAAGATAGTAGGGATGACAAGTTTTTTGGGGGCACAGTCTAAGTTGGTCTGGTGTCAAATGAGACTGGGGCCTAATAAAAAGGAGCATCTGTACAGGAGCTTAAATGGGCTGTACCCTGTAGCATTCCGAGGACAGGCCTGAATTCTGAGAAACGAAAGTGGTAAAAGTATTGTCCAGTCCTTTTTAAGTTGGTGGCTGAGCTTGGTGAGGTGTGTTTTTAAAAGACCTTTAGTCCGTTCTACTTTTCTTGAAGACGGAGGACCTTAAGGGATATAAAGGTTTCACTGAATACTAAGAGCCTGAAAAACTGCTTGGCTGATTTGACTAATAAAGGCTGGTCTATTATCAGACTGTATTGAGGTGGGAAGGCTAAACTGAGGAATTATGTCTGACAGAAGGGAAGAAATGACTGCGGTGGCCTTCTCAGACCCTGTAGGAAAGGCCTCTACCTATCCAGTGAAAGTGTCTACCTAGACTAAGAGGTATTTCAGTTATCTGACTCAGGGCATGTTGAGTAAAGCTAATTTGCCAGTCCTGGGTGGGGCAAATCCTCGAGCTTGATGTGTAGGGAAGGGAGGGGGCCTGAATAATCCCTGAGGAGTAGTAGAATAGCAGATGGAACACTGAGAAGTTATTTCCTTGAGGATAGATTTCCACGATGGAAAGGAAATGGAGGTTCTGAGAGGCGGGCTAGTGGCTTGTACTATAGCATAACCTGCCTTTGCTGGTGTGTGGTGATTAGGCCTGGTGGAACCGCCATCAATAAATCAAGCGTGATCAGGGTGAGGAACAGGAAAGAAGGAAATTTGGGGAAATGGGGTGAATGTCAGGTGGATCAGAGAGATACAGTTATGGGGGTCAAGTGTGGTATCAGGAATAATGTGGGAGGCTGAAGTCTGGGCCAGGAACAACGGTAATTGTGGGAGACTCAATAAAGAGTGAGTATAGCTGAAGGAGCCGGGAAGCAGAAAGTATATGAATCAGGTATGAGGAAGAAAATAGATTTTGGAAGTTATGAGAACTGTAGAGAGTGAGTTGAGCATAGTTTGTGATTTTGAGGGCCTCTAAAAGTATTAAAGCAGCGGCAGCCGCTGCATGCAGACATGAGGGCTAGGCTAAAACAGTAAGGTCAAGTTGTTTGGACAGAAAGGCTACAGGGTGCGGTCCTGGCTCTTGTGTAAGAATTCTGACCGCACTAACCATGCCTAGGAAGGAAAGGAGTTGTTGTTTTATAGAAGGTGTTTGGGTTTGAGAGATCGGTCGGACAAGATTGGCAGGGAGAGCACGTGTGTTTTTATGAGAATTATGCCGAGATAGGTAACAGATGAGGAAGAAATTTGGGCTTGATTGAAGTAATGGGGGCTGTCTGTGAAGCTTTGCAGCAGTACAGCCTAGGTAATTTGTGGAGCTTGATGGGTGTCAGGGTCAGTCCAAGTGAAAGCGAAGAGAGGCTGGGATTAAGGGGCAAAGGAATAGTAAAGAAAGCATGTTTGAGATATAGAACAGAATAATGGATAGTAGAGGCAGGTATTGAGGATAGGAGAGTATATGGGTTTGGCACCACGGGGTGGATAGGCAAAACAATTTTGTTGATAAGGCGCAGATCCTGAGCTAACTTGTAAGGCTCGTCTGGTTTTAGGACAGGTAAAATGGGGGAATTGTAAGGAGAGTTTATAGGCTTTGAAAGGCCATGCTGTAGCAGGCGAGTGATAACAGGCTTTAATCTTTTTAAAGCGTGCTGAGGGATGGGATATTGGCATTGAGTGGGGTAAGGGTGATTAGGTTTTAATGAGATGGTAAGGGGTGCATGATCGGTCGCCAAGGAGGGAGTAGAGGTATCTTATACTTGTGGGTTAAGGTGGGGGGATACAAGAGGAGGACGCAAAGGAGGCTTTGGATTGGGAAGAAGGGAGGCAATGAGATACAGCTGTAGTCCAGGAATAGTCAGGGAAGCAGATAATTTAGTTAAAGTGTCTCAGCCTAATAAGGGAACTGGGCAGGTGGGGATAACTAAAAAGGAGTGCTTAAAAGAGTATTGTCTAAGTTGGCACCAGAGTTGGGGAGTTGTAAGAGGTTTAGAAGCCTGGCCGTCAATACCCACAACAGTTATGGAGGCAAGGGAAACAGGCCCTTGAAAAGAAGGTAATGTGGAGTGGGTGCCTCCATATTGATTAAGAAGGGGACGGGCTTACCTTCCACTGTGAGAGTTACCTGAAGCTTGGCGTCCGTGATGGTCTAGGGGGCTTCCGAGGCGATCGGGCGGTGTTAGTTTTCAGCCGCTAAGCCGAGAAGATCTGGGAAGGAGTCAGACAGCCTTGCGCCAGAGTTCCAGGGGCTCTGAGAGTGGCTCCCAGGTGAGTTGAACAGTCCGATTTTCAGTGGGGTCCTACACAGATGGGACACGGCTTAGGAGGAATTCCGGGCTGCGGGCATTCCTTGGCCCGGTGGCCAGATTTCCGGCAAGTGTAGCAAGCTCCTTGGGGAGGAGGTTCTGGAGGAACGCCTGGCCGCTGCGGTTCAGGCGTTTGGAAGTTCTTGTGTGCTGGAGATGTGGCTGGGGTTTGTCTCACAGTGGAGGCAAGGAATTGCAACTTTTTTCTATTATTGTACACCTTGAAGGCGAGGTTAATTAAATCCTGTTGTGGGGTTTGAGGGCCGGAATTTAATTGTTGGAGTTTTATTTAATGTTGGGAGCAGATTGGGTAATAAAATGTATATTGAGAATAAGATGGCCTTTTGACCTTTTAGGGTCTAGGGCTGTAAAGTGTCTCGGTTGCTGGCAAACAAGTCATGAACTGGGCTGGATTTTTATATTTGATGAAAAAGAGCCTAAACGCTATCTGATTTGGGATAAAGAAAAAGGAGCATTAACCTTGACTATGCCTTTAGCTCCAGCCACCTTTTTAAGAGTAAATTGTTGGGCAGGAGGGGGAGGGCTAGTCATGGAAGGAAACTGTAAGCCGGACCAGGTGTGAGGAGGGGAGGTGATAAAAAGATTATAGGGTGGAGGAGCGGAGGCTGAGGAAGAATTGGGACCTAGCTCGGCCTGGCGAGGAGCAGCCTGGGGAGGAAGGGAGAGGTCAGATGGGTCTGTAGAAAAGGAAGATTAGAAAGACTCAGCGAGGCTTGGGGTTGGTACTGAGGGGACAGGCAGGAGGGAAAGAAGGAAGATTTGGGACGAGTTGCACTGGGCACAGAGACTAGGAAGGGACTGATGTGTAAAAGAATGCCTGGACGTCAGGCACCTCAGACCGTTTGCCTATTTTATGACAAGAATTATTTAGATCTTGCAGGATGGAAAAATTCAAAGTGCCATTTTCTGGCTATTTGGAACTACTGTGGAGTTTGTATTGGGGTCAAGTGGCATTGCAGAAGAAAATAAGGCATTTAGGTTTTAGGTCAGGTGTGAGTTGAATTGGTTTTAAGTTTTTGAGAACACAGGCCAAGGGAGTAGAAGGAGGAATGGAGGGTGGAAGGTTGCCCATAGTGAAGGAAGGAAGCCTAGAGAAAAGAGAGAGTAGAGAAACGGAGGGAAGGGGTTTGGGGGTTCTTACCTTCCAGAAAAGTGGGAAAAGGGGTTGGGGCACAGAGATAAGAGGTCGGGACGTGGAAATAAGTGATTGGGGCACAGAGATACGAGGTTGGGGTACTTGCCTCTCCTCTAGAAAAGCGGGACTTGCCGCTAAGAGTGAAGGAGAAGGGGTTGGAGTACTTGCCCTGTGCCCGGAAAAGCTGAGAAGGGGTAGAGACAAGGAGAGAAGGGGTTGGGGTACTTGCCCCTTCCCCAGAAAAGCAGGACTTGCCGCTAAGGGTGAAGGACCAAGGCAGGCGTCCCTGCGTGGTATGACACCTTTGAAACGTGGGTTGAATAATCAGAGAGGCGTCCCTGCAATGATTAAACACCAAGGGAAGGCTGCCTTTCCAGTCTGTGACCGGCACCAGAGTTTTGGGTCCACAGATAAAATGTATCTCCTTTGTCTCTCCCAGAAAATGGAAGGAATTGAAATTAAGAGATGGGAGAGATTGAAGAGTGGAAAGGAGAAAGTGGTTGAGGGACAGTGAGAGAGATTGGAGAAGAGAGTCAGAAGAGGCCGCTTAACTGATTTAAAATTGGTGAGATGTTCCTTGGGCTGGTCAGTCTGAGGACCTGAGGTCATAGGTGGATCTTTCTCACGGAGCAAAGAACAGGAGGACAGGGGATTGATCTCCCAAGGGAGGTCCCCCGATCCGAGTCATGGCACCAAAATTCATGCGCGTCTGTGTGAAGAGACCACCAAACAGGCTTTGTGTGAGCGACACATCTGCTTATTTCACCTGGGTGCAGGCAGGCTGAGTCCGTAAAGAGAGTCAGTGAAGGGAGATAAGGGTGGGGCCGTTTTATAGGATTTGGGTAGGTAAACGAAAATTACAGTCAAAGGGGGTTTGTTCTCTGGCGGGCAGGAGTGGGGGTCACAAGGTGCTCAGTGGGGGTGCTTTTGGCGCCAGGATGAGCCAGGAAAAGGACTTTCACAAGGTAATGTCATCACTTAAGGCAAGGACTGGCCATTTACACTTCTTTTGTGGTGGAATGTCATCAGTTAAGGTGGGGCAGGGCATATTCACTTCTTTTGTGATTCTTCAGTTACTTTAGGCCATCTGGGAGTATAGGTGCAAGTCACAGGGGTTGCAATGGCTTGGCTTGGGCTCAGAGGCCTGACATTTCGTACTATGGATATAATGTAAAAAGGGGGCGTTTGTCTTCTCTTTTTAAATATCCGTACAGAAGTCTCTGCTGCAACATAATAAATGACAAATGCCAGAATATATCCTAAAAATTTAGCACATGTGGACAGTGGGTTTACTTAGATGTTTATTTTTGCCCTTACATATTTTTGGAGGATTGATACATTTTTGGTATCACTTTTGGTATTTAAACAAATAGGTAAATATTTTCTCAAAAAGTGAAGACTTTTTTTTCAGACAAATCTATGAGAAATTATTGGCTTAACAAATCACAAGTTTTGTCACGTATGCCATATTTGTTTGTTTGTTTGTGAAAGGATTTTGGGTATTAGGCAACTGTAGCAGACATCATGTATCTGGACTTTAGCGAGTCATGATCACTCATCATCTAGTAAAAATATTTAATATTTATATAAGGCTTATTATGTGCTAGATACTCTTCAAATTATTTCACATCTCTTAACTCATTTGATCTTGTTAACAGTGCTACAAAGTAGATGATTTGATTTTTGCCCTTGTATTGATGAGTAAAATTAGTCTAGCAAGTAGCAGATGGGTAATTTGAGTCCCAGACTCTCTTGCCCTAGAATTAGTTTTATAATCACAATGTCGTGCTGCTAAACAATTGAGATGCATCATTCCTGACAATCTTTGCCTTCACCCTTCAAGTACCATATCAGCATATAAAAGTGAAGGATGATGCCTTCCAGTGAAGGTTCAAGGCTTTTGCCTGAAGTTTATATTATTTGTTTGAAATCTTTTTCAGCCATGGAGATATTGAAGGAGATTTTATTAAACTTTCATGTTGTATACAGCTGAAAGAGTGTTTTAAAAAGTGATATGTAAAATGACAGTTTTGGTATTCAAAAGGAGCAATGGTGGAAATCCAACAATAAATATGGCAGGGATAAATGTAAGGTGCTACCCTTGAATCCAATAACCCATGAAACAAGTAGAGCATAGGAGAGAGCTGATTTAGGAACAAGCCATGGGAAGAGGTCTAAGGGATTATGATACAGACTAGCCCCATCGTGGTGTGGTTCCCCAAATAACAAATTCTATCTTAGGTAGGCTGCATTTCTATGTTGTAATTTATTTATTGAATAATCTTACCTTGGTTAGTGCGTAATTCTAAACTTTTTCCAATTAACATTTTTAGCTCTGCTATTGTTAATCATTTCCCATGCTTTAATGTCACTGTGAACACATTTTTAATTTTTTCTAATGTTTTGTTACTAAAATCAGTATAAAACTCTTATCTCATATTTTTTGTTTGTTTGTTTTGAGACAGAGTCTCCCTCTGTAGCCCAGGCTGGAGTGCAGTGGCACTGATTTCGGCTCACTGCAACCTCTGCTTCCCGGGTTCAAGCGATTCTCATGCCTCAAGCTCTGGAGTAGCTGGGACTACAGGGTTACGTCACCATGCCCTGTCTAATTTTTGTATTTTTAGTAGAGACGGGGTTTCACTATGTTGGCCAGGATGATCTCGAACTCCTGACCTCAAGTGATCAGGCCACCTCAACTTCCCAAAGTGCTGGGATTACAGGCCTGAGCCTCCACACCTGGCTTTATCCCATATTTGATTTAAATTGTATGTTCTTACCTCTTCTTGGTACCCAAATTGAGACCCTAACAAATTGGAGTGGCAAAGAACTACCACAAGGTCTGACTCTGAGATAAATGTCTCTTCTTTCTCTTTGATATATAGTTGCTCCAGTATGTTAGGTCAGAGAAGAGAGAGCAGAAAGTGTTAAGTGTATCTTTATTCAACATTTACTAATACTATCATTTATTTGCTTTCTCTGCTTTGCAGACTTCTGTGTGGCTCTCCTATGAGGCTCATTCATGGATTCTTTAGAGGACCTATTGTAAAGTTCTCTGATATGGGAGATTCAATCTGAATCCAAGCTAGCTAGCCTCCATTAGAGTGAACCCCAAGCTGTACACACTGTTGGAACTTGTTTTTGAGGTCTCCTTAGTTACTATCCAGTGGCTCTAGCTCCACTACATTTTGTATATTTACTTGACTCATGGAGAACTTACATAGAGTTACTTCTAAGTCTACAGCCTGTTCTATTGCAACACCTTGCATAGATTGGTGGACCACTTGGGTGAAATGCAGAGAATATCATGCAAAGAATATCTGCTCTGCATGAATGATTAACAGCAGAAGTTCTCAAGTTTTACCTGATAACCTTCGAAGTAACACCAATTCCTTGATTTGCTCCTGCACCATCCCTTTTTGGATTCTGTCCAACAGATCTGCTATAAAGCCTGATGATTTTGTTTGTTTAAAGCACTTCAGCTAGTCAGCAAGGGTTCAGAAACACTAAATTAGATTACCTTACTCAGAATCCTATGATTCTATGTATTTTTATCCTCTTTAAAAGTACTTTTATAACTGTGATATTACTTTAATATTTTAAAACAACCATAAATAAGATTGCAGATAGTAATGCATTGGGTTTGCAAAAATAACTTTAGATAAAATATATTCCAGTTTGTATTTATGTGATAATACATTACCTCAAGACCTCAAAAATAGATTTGCTTTGTTTATATGGTTTCCTTCTATAAGTGAAAAAAACTAGTCCAATGAAATAAAGGGTTAAGACCCCTTAGAGGAAAAGGAAGATAAAATTATCTTCAGAAATGGCTATGGTAACACCTCCCAAGGCAAACTATTGGCAGACCTTCTAAGGGCAGATTGTGTGCATCTATGTAAGTGAAAAACAGCTGAAGGGTGTCAAGTGCTCTGAGTCACACTAGAGTCCCTTTAGATTTATTTCCCAAACCAAGTAGTAGTTGCCTTTTCCACCAGCCCACACAGTTCTATTATTTTCCTATCTTTGCTTTATGAATAGCTGGCTCTTACAGTACTTAACTTCTTATCTTAGTCCACTTGGGCTGCTAGAACAAAATATCATAAACTCGATAGCTTATAAACAACAGAAATTTATTTTTCACAGTTTTGGATGCTGAGAAGTCCAAAATCACAGTGCTTGCAGATTCCAAATCTGGTGAGGGCTTGTCCTTTGGTTCACAGACAGTACCTTCTAGCTGTGTCTGCTCATGTTGGAAGAAGCAAGCTAACATTCTGAGTTCTCTTTTATAAAAGGACTAATTCCAGTGATGAGGGCTCTGCCCTTGTGACCTAATAACCTTCCAAAGGCCCCACCTCCTAATACCATCACCTTATGGGTTAGAATTTCAAAGCAGAAATTTGGGGTGGAGGAGGATCAAAAATTCAAATATTCTGAACCCTTGCTGACTAGCTGAAGTGCTTTAAACAAATAAACAAAAACAAACATATCACTTATGTTGAAAACTAGTCAAATAATAAGGCATTTCTAACATAAGACCTCATGATCAAGTAAACTTACATGAAATGACCAGTGCAAAGACATGCTTGGGTAAAGCTTTTCTGTAGAGTAGTAGTATTGATTTTTATTTTATGTATGTATGTATGTATGTATGTATGTATGTATGTATGTATGTATGTATTTTGAGACAGTCTCACTCTGTCACCCAGGCTGCCTAGGCTGGAGTGCAGTGGTACCATCTCGGCTCACTGCAACCTCTACCTCTCGGGTTCAAGTGATTCTCCTGTCTCAGCCTCCTGAATAGCCGGGACTATAGGTACATGCCACCATGCCCATCTAACTTTTAGTAGAGATGGGGTTTCACTATCTTGGCCAGGCTGGTCTTGAACTCCTAACCTCAAGTGATCCTCCTACTTCGGCCTCCCAAAGTGCTGGAATTACAGGCATGAGCCACCATACCCAGCCCGAGTAGTATTGATTTTTAAAGTAAATTTTTTCATCACATCCCTACCAAATTATATACAAATTAAGTAACTAGCCCAGTTAGGAAAATAGTACACAAGTACTAAATCCATATTAAGATCAACATCTAAAAAAATAAACATTTACATAAATGGAAGAGACATTTTTTACTACATTTATTTGATTTTAATAATTTAATTTTATGGAATTTATGAAAATTTTATTTTTAGGAATTCATGAAAAATTCCAAAAATTTCAATTATTAAAATCAAATAAATGAGGTAAAAATTATGTAAGATATATTTGGGTAAAAAGCATAAACACATTTAAATATTTTATTAAAACATTTTAATTAACAGGAACATGTTTTAAAGGAACTAATACATAAAAATCAATTTCAATCTCATTATTCCTCACAATCACTTCCAGTATTCTGGAGCCTCAGGTTTTCATCCTTGATATTTATTTATAAAGATTATTATAGTCATATTGCTCATGTAATAGATAATCCCTCTCCACAACTAATATTTTATTATGATATTTTCTACATTATTACCTATTTCTCATAAATATAACTAGAAATTATCGTGCAATATTTTATTGGGTAACATGATTTAGTTAGCTATTTCTCCCATAATTATACATTATATATGGCTTACTCTTGGGTTTTGCTCCTACATATAGGACTGCTTTAGATCTCCATGTCACTAAGGTTTTACCATATTTGGATTATTTCCTTAGGATAATTTTTCAGAAGTGGGATTATTAAAGAGACTCAACATTTTTAAGTTTTTGTTTTGTAATGCAAAGTTGATTTCCATAACTTACAGTGCTGCCAGCAAGATAGGGAAACATCCAGTACACAGCCTTACTTTTTCCTTGAATTTGGAGCTCATCTTTTATAGTTTGTATAAAATATGATAGTTGAAAATAATATTTCATGGTCAGATCCATGTGAAATACAAATTATTGTATTAGTGGAGATGAGTTGAAAATTTTTTTCCATGTGTGGGAAATACATTTGCCTTTCTCCTCTAAAATATGTCTTTTTGGAAAATAGGAACTTCAGTATTTTGTGATCATTTGTATACACTCTTCATATAATAATAACTCTGTCATAACTGCAAAAATATTCATATTTATTCTTAATTTTACTAATTATACTCAAGTTTTTACTTGTAATATAATCAAATATGTCTATCTTTTCTTACTGATATATATATATATATATATATATATATATATATAACACTTAAGCCAAATTCATTTATATTTCAGAACAGTCAGGAATCTCTAGAAGCTTCATTAACTCTTTCCTACCATTATATTTAATTTTTAAGTCATGGCTTTAGAGCACCAGAGGTTAGTATGAGTAATTTAGTCAGTGAGAAAAGTTGGCTCCTTCTGGAAAAGCACCTTTATCAAAGCAATTCCATCAAAGCTGGCTTTGAATTTCAGAGAAAGCAATTAGATTAAAAGAAAATTAGGATCTTGGCTCACAGTAAGAGCATGTAAAACATAATTCATCTTGATTCAGCGTTTTAATATTCTATCATGGGTATCAAATATGTCAGATATGAAAAGTAATTTCAGCTTTGTTTTCAACTTTGCTAAGTTTGGTCACTGTTCCTTAGAAGCAAAAGTTTAGCTCTGATCATGTTGGAAAATAAAGTAGTTTTAGTCATTAAAAACAAAAATTTTATCAATAATAGTGTGATATTATAATAATGTCATATTTTCATCTTCTGGTGTACCTATCTTGTGCCTGATGTATAATAGGTGCAGAATTTATAATAGTAGAATGAATAGATGAATTTCCTGAAGTAGAATGCAGTGAGGCATTAAGCATGTCCTCATAATGCCTTTAGGATTGCCAAAAGTCTTGCTTAGGGGTTGAAAAAGAAGTAGAAATCAAATGATAAGACCTCGAAGGAACAGAGAAATCCAACTCAATGAACAGTAAAAATCAATGAAGGCAAAAAAGGTCCATTTTTATCTCATTCATCTTCAGAGATAGACCAGTGTAAGTTCATTGATTTACAGTGCTCATTGAGTTGTATTCTCCTGTTCTTTGTTGTGCTCCATTCTCTGTTTTTTCAGCTTCACTTTGTGTTTTATTTTAAATTGTATTTGTTATGAGGTGGGCTTTGATGGCATAGTTTTAGCACAATGAGACTATTTTTTTTCACTTGATTTTTCTACTCATATGATATCATCACTTTTCAATATTCTTAATGGTACTTTTCTGAATAACCTCCTTTAAATCTCTCTCTTTCTTTATGTTGATCTGTGTCAATCAAGTTTTTATGTGTAAAAGTGTGTTAATAAATTTAAATTTAAAAATAAATTTTAATTTAATTTAATTTTTAAATATTTATTTTAATAAATTTAAATAAATTTAATTTTTAAATAAGTTTAAATAAATATTCAAATAAAATAAAAATAAAATAATATTTAAATAAATTTAAATTAAAATAAATTTAATTTAAATTTATTATAGTGACCATACAAAACAAATAGTTGTTTCTATTCAGTTCACTCATAAAGAAATGTTATTTAACAAATATATTCAGCACCTTTCAATGCAATGCACTTTTGCAGTTGTCAAGCACCATAATTCACTTAGGTTCTGCCCCAGGCCTTTAATTATAAGTTCTTATTTATGGGAATTAGAGAGTAGAACTTGAACTGAAGAGACTAGCCTGACCGTGGAGCTGACAAAGAAAGAATGTACATTGGTTCTGAGTACAGTGCCCACAGATAATTGGAGAATACGTGTTTGAATCAGACTGATGAATTCTGGGTGGAACATGAAAGCCGGTAATTCTAAATATTAGTGATATTAATTAAATCATCATAATTTGTCTAGAATCACGCTCAATTTAGAAAGGATTCATCTAAGGGAATGAAGACAGAATAGCTGAAGCCAATATTTTGAAAGATAAAACAGAGTAAGAAAAATTATTTGACCACTAGGCATTTACATTTTTTTATAGTATATAAATCACTTACAACATGCAGATACACGCATACAATAGAATTTCAATGAGGTACAATCACTTCCCACATTTTAATGAATGTGCTCAGGGTAGAAGTAATAAATTATTTTAATATATAGAATTTGATAAACTCATAATAGAAGTAGAAGCAAATCCTTTGAGTGCTACAAAGAAAGGAAACCCATTTCACCAATGATATGCATGAGTGCTTCATTGTGGAGTTCATCTTTGGTTTCAGGCTTAAATTATGACACATTGACAATTTGGAACATTCAGATTAAGAAAACATTGAGCAATAATTCAGGAAAATTAGGCAGAAGGGTATGTTCACAAAATAATCCTGTATTGTCCAAATATCAAAAGAGCCTAAGTATTCATCTCAAATTGAGCCTAGAAAATTAGACTTTGGGAGGGTCACAAGATAAGATGTTTGTAATATAGCCAGATAAGCACTAAAACAAATCCAGGATTAGGCTGTCTTGTGATTTGGCTTTCTCCACTGTAAACCATGTTTTTCTATGAATGTGAGACTCTGCTGGCATTGTTGAATCACTACATAGTCATCCATTCATTCATCATTTAATTTATTATCCATTCAGGATTGCAAAAAGCCAAGGATGTATAAGTGTAAAAGACAGGTAAAGCAGTGTCATGGCATACATCATTGTGGAAAGCTACCATTATATACTTGGCTATTGAACACAGATGCCCTAACAGTGAAAGTTTTAATAAAAATAATATTATGCCACATAAATGTTCTTTATAGTATATATGGAAATGTTCTCTATTATTAATGTCAACATTGCCTTTCTGTCATGCTTTGGTTAGCAAATTTAGCAAGGGTAAATCTGTTTAGATTTTTTTTTTTTTTTTTAGACAGAGTCTCACTTGGTCACACAGGCTGGAGTGCAGTGGCACGATCTTGGCTCACTGTAACCTCTGCCTCCTAAGTTCAAGCAATTCTCCTGCCTCAGCCTCCTGAGTAGCTGGGATTACAGGCATGCCACTGCACCCTGCTGATTTTTGTATTCTTAGTAGAGATGGGGTTTCACCATGTTGGCCATGACTGGCCAGGCTGGTCTTGAACTCCTGACCTCAGGTGATCCACCCACTTTGGCCTCTCAAATTGCTGGGAATACAGGGGTGAGCCAAGGTGCCCGGCCCTCTTTAGGTTTTTAATGTAAGTTTTTTATGAAGTTTTCTGTGCTATTTTAAGCATGAAAGTGAGACTAATACATATAATAACAATTTGTGAGAACTTGTATTTGGAAGTACTTAATAATAGTTTGTGAATTGTTACCTGCCCGTTCATGAGTAGATAGCAAATATATATGATACATGTATATATAATATATGTTTACCATATATATATATTTACCATATATATATATTTACCATATATATTTTTTTACCATATATATATATTTACCATATATATATATGTATGTTTCTATATATGATACATAGAGATAGACTGACAGGTGTGTGTGTGTGTGTGTGTGTGCATACACTTATGCATTTGTTAGTCTATGTATCCATGTAACTTATGTATGATTTTCTACTTATGAATATGTGGCATTTGTGTGGGTGTGTGTGTGGGGGTGTATACATGCATTAAATCATGTCCTCTAAAGAGCAAATACCATGTCAGAATTTATCATGCAAGAGATTTATTGGGAAAATGCCTGTGAAAGAAGAAGGAGAGGGAAATAAAGGAGGCAGGAAGAACCATCAAACATTGAAGCAGTTCTGATCCCTGGGAAAGGAGGGGAGAGAAGGAAGGAGAGTTGGACTGACAGAATCTTGGATGAAGCATAGTTTTTAAAATATTTTGGCCAGGCCAACAGGGAGTCATTGTGCCAAAGTTGCCTGTCAGAGGAGTATTACATCTTTTAGAAATGGACCTGTCTTGCTAATGCTATCTTGCTCAGTCATTAGCAGAGAATGGGTTCATACAGAGTATGGCCTCACGTATGTATATTCACATATGTATATGTATTCATATACATATATGCATACATAAGTATCAAAAACCGATGTATATTTATTGCACCAAATGATTTTTAATGTACATGTTGAAACATATTCGTTGTGTTACTCTTATGCATATAAAGTTATTTGTAAAGACATGGATTTCTTTCATTTATGTTTTAAAATTTCCATGTACTATATTAGAGGACATAAAAAGATGCGTAATATTACCTAGGAGTGCACATTGTTGAAGAGAGTTACCTAGTGTTTGTGAAAGGCTTTTATCATCCAGAAATTAAATTTTACGGCTTACCTTTTAATTTTCCTCTCAAATATTGATTGATTTTTTTTACAAGTAGAAAACATTTAAGCTATGTTTGAGATTTTTTAAATATAATGTATAACTTAATAAAGCTAAATTATACTGTCCTTAAAAACTTAAGACCACTGACTGTTTCTTTCTTACTGAAATCAAAATAGTGATTATGGCTCAAAGACAATATTACAAAACTGAATATGATTGCAAATATGTGTGCACTAAACCACAGCATGCACACTTTGGCCACAGCCAAAACATAATTAGATTTCTCCAAAAATGCCTCTTAGTGTTTAAATAAACAGTACTATGTCATAATAGTACATGACATATAGATAATTTACTTTTTTAGAGAAATATAAATAATAATGACACATTGTTTTCTCTGCTATTACTTACAAAATTTGAGTGTCTAAGTCATAAATGTGTTTTTCTTTCCCACATTAAAACAATGACAAAATAATTAGATTTGTATGTTTTTTCCACTTATTGGACACCTGGCTTCAAATTCTATTAATTATTCATTACCTGATCAGCAAAGAATACAGAGAAAAGTACTTAACTATATGAAAATGAGCATTATGCATAAGGATAAATTTGGCTAGTATCTTACAAGTTTCCTTATATAAATTTTTTCAACTTTAAAAATCTTGTGATTCTCCATATAAATACAGTTTTATTGATCAAATGAAGCATAAATATAACTAAAATTAATACATTTATTAACCTCTGAAAAATGTTAGGTGAATGCTATGTATATACAAACACAGTGGTTGCTATATGGCATGGAACATTCCCATCAAATCTGCATCCCTGGTGGCTCACGCCTGTAATCCCAGCACTTTGGGAGGCCGAGATCGGCAGATCACGAGGTCAGGAGATCCAGACCATCCTGGCTAACACGGTGAAACCCCGCCTCTACCAAAAATACAAAATATTAGCCGGGCGTGTTGGCAGGCGCCTGTAGTCCCAGCTATTCTGGAGGCTGAGGCAGGAGAATGGCGCGAACCCAGGAGGCAGAGCTTGCATTGAGCCGAGATCGCACCACTGCACTCCAGCCTGGGGGACAGAGCGAGACTCCGTCTCAAAAGAAAAAAAGAAAAATCTGCACCCCTGCAATGTCTCTGGATTACTTTCCGATTATTCACATATTATGTTGTCCCAAAAACTCAGATAAAACCAAACTAGAGTATTTAAAAAAAATTATTTCTAAGAGGTTGATTTTAAACTGTTTTCCTACTTGGTTAAGATTCTACTGTATGTCTAGCTGTAAATGTTTTACAACTTCATGATTATGGAATGAAAATTAGTGCTACTTTTATATAGCACCGCTGTAAATTTCTATTCATTAAAACTACTTTAAAATAGAAAAATCCTAATAGAGCCCATATCTTTGAAAGGCACTAGAATTTATGTGAAATAAAAAGGATACTTCTAATTTTATTTATTTTTCATTTGGAGTAATGTTTTAATGCATCTATTGAGCAAGTATTTTTTGAGGTTTGTGGCCAAAATACTACTCAGTTACTAAGTGCCGGGTGGACAACAGAGACATTTCCGTGTTCTTGTGAAACTTATATTCCAGGATTCTTATATTCAGAGAAAATCTTATTTTCTAATACTCTGTATACCCCAAACGACCCACCAGAGTATCAATTATGTGAATTACAACTGGGAAGAATGTGAGAAGGAGAAGTACACCATCAGGAGAGGATATAACGTGAACCTAGTGTTGGGCCTGGGGAGAGGTCCTTGAGGAAGTGGTACTGGAGCAGATGTCAGAAGAATGAGGTGTGAGCGAGAGGGAAACCGCACAGGAAGAGCGTTCTGGTGAGCAGGAATAGAAACATGGAAGAATGCTCTGAAATGGAGAGGAGCATGTGCTCAAGGAAATGAGGGAGACCATTGTGTCTAGGTAGGGTTTGGAAAGCAGTACCGGAGTGGTGGGCAGTGAGGCACGAGAGAGGGGAAGAGTTTCTAAATGCATCCTCATGTAACTCAAGAATACACCTGAGATGAATTTTGTTATGCTTGTGGAGGGGCAGTGCCTAATAAAGTTTAGGTCACACTTTGATACTAGAATGCAATAGTAAATTGTATGATCTTATTGCTGCCTGCGATTTGATTGATTAATTACAGTGATTTTTCTCTTTTACAAAAGACAAACTGCTGCCACTTGTTGCATTTTTTAAATGAGCAGTTTGCAAAGATTGTATCTTTTATGTAGGTTGCTTATTTCATATATTTGGAAACGGGTTATATCAGTTGGTGGACGATATGTCAAAAATTTAGAACTTTCTCCCATCTTTCCAAGTTGCTAAATTATATTTCAGTGAAAAGCTTTCTCTCTAAAGTGCTAAAGGTATTTCTCAATGGAAGCAATAAAATGAACTTTTTTGGCAGCTTTCCCAGAAAAAAAAAAATCCCTCTAGCATTTTTGGAAATGAGTAGGGGAAAATTATAAATAATGTAAAATAAACTCACATAAGAGGCTTATATGAACTATTATACAATATATATTAGGAACTAAATTTTCTTCCATTATTCCTTTAGGATCTTGTGGCTCTAGTAGAATGGGAAAATGCACTCCCATGAGAAATTTGACAATAACAGCCAATTCTGCACGGAAAAAAATATTGAATGGTTTATATATAAGTTTAAAATCTATTTTAAAAGTAAGACTTGATACGTGAGAGACTAGTCAAGTTTGGTGATTAGGAAGTCTCTTTTTCTACTAAATTCAAACCTACAGTGTTGGTGTTCACTGAATACACTAGGTAGTGTAGAGGATGCAGAACTCAGGGGAAAAGGTCTCAATACCAACCTACATAATGAAAAAGAAAAGATATGTGTGAGGTGTGGCTTTAAAACAAAAGATCTAATCTAAAAAGATCTAATCTATGTATCACTTTTGGGATCTATATGATATGACAGTTATGCCTTATGTTTGGAATAATAAGCAATATGTAAATTACAGCAATATACAAGCTACTGTATATTAGTAGGGAACACAGGTTCCATTTCTCCTTACTTCTTCCTGGCATGCTATGATAACAACTTAACTATGTTATGATAACAACTACTAGTCATCCTGCTTCCTGTATCCCTTTCTTGTGTACCTTAGACACACGTGCATTTTTCTTCTTAAATAACAGGTATGTTATGAAATATTTGTGCCTAAAATTCTTAAATATTTATCTTTCTCTTTACACACACTCTCACACACATTTATTTATATGTGTATGTGTATATTTCTGTCTCCAACTTATCTTCTAGGCTTATTTTCGACATTCCTTACAACTGGCATGAGCTTCTTGTTATAGTTTCTAGATATTCTAGGTTTTCTTACCTTGAGGTCACTTTTTTGGTCACTTTATTTTTTCTGTTTGTAATTTTTTGTTCTCTATTTTTACTATCCTCTATCACCTCAGTTTTTGACTGTTCTTTAAAACCAAGTTCAATTGGCTTAAACTCTGTGCCTTTTCCTTACCCATATGAAAAATCACTGTCTTCTCATCAAAGAATTCCTGTGATACATTAGTTATGCTGTTTTTATAGCACTTTTCACATTTTCCATTGAATTATTTATGTTTATGTGTTAGATTGTAAGGAACTTGAAGGCAAAGTTTATCTCTGAGTCATTTGGCTTAGTACCTTGCATAGTAATTATACAGAGTAAATATGTATAGAATGAATGAATAAATATATGAGAAGAAAAATATATTTCTTTTATGCGCATCGAAAGATGTAGGCTTCATCTACATACACAAGTCGGACTTAAGTATTTAGCTGACTTGATTAAGGGATGTCTCATCCTGAGGAAGGGTATAATTTAGCAATAACTTACTCATTATAATTTATTTAAAGTTGCATTCCACAAGTAATTGTACAGCATCACCTATGGGACAGGAACATTATATGTGTAGCTTGTGAATTCAAGATTGATAACAATCTTCAGCTGAGACCTTTTTTTTAAAAATGTGGCATTTGCCTCCAAGAGAAAAGGCACGAAAGCATCACAAGCAGAGAACAAAGAGAAAGTGTCTTCAGAATGTAATTGTGATGAATCTATGCCTGTCTGTTTGCAAGGATTTGTGTAGCACTCTTGCACCTTCCCCCTTAAAGAAATTTCTCTACTACAAATTTTCAGTGCTTTGAAATGAAAAATAATTTCTGCCATTGTAAATTTTTTTGCAAATAATTTCAGCACCTAGAATAAGTGAAGTTATTTTTCAGTAAGAGTTTATGACATAAAGGGAAGTGATTAAATCAGTCATGAATTGTGCATTTAGAATAGCATGAAGGACTTTTCTTTCAACACAACTGATACGTTTGAACTATGCTGAAAAGTTCTCCTGGCTGAAAAATGGTCATGTCTTTTTTATTCTAAAATAAGAATGAAATGTTTTGTACCTTAAATTTTCTTTGATTTTATTCCAAAAATAAATAGGGAAGCTAAATTTTGCAAAAATAATTAGTCTCTATGATAGGCACGGTGAGAACAAAAAGAGACTGTGAATCAGATGATCCTAGTTCTAGGCCTGGGTTCAGCCACTTAATTAAGTCTGTGACCTTGGCGATTTCATATAAATATTTAAGTCTGTGACCTTTGTCATTTCATATAAATATTTTCATCCTCAGGAACCTTATCTGCACAATTTAGGGATTAGTCTTTAATGGTAAATTTTAAACTGCTTTTAGGAGTCACAGTGGCACATGGAGTCCCTTGAGAAGCAACCTCACAAGGGGTGGCCTAGGGTGCCAGGCTCCACCATTTTTTGTGTTTGTTTTGTATTCTGTTTCATTTGTTTGTTAAAATTCCCTTTATAATAGGTTCGTGACAGGAACAAACAACAAATTTAAAATTCTAGATTAAATCACTTCTGGGTTTCATATAGCAATCTTAATTTTTACTTGTTTATGGAACATGGGTAGTAGCAGATAAAGATAATTGTCATTTTTCTTATTGCTCTATTCACTCACCCAACATTTATTAAGAAGTTGCTACATGTAAAAACTGCTGTGTCCAGTGTTTTGGAAATTTAAAGGTGTCAGAGTTCAAAATCTATTCGGAAAATATCTAAGAAAAAAAGTCCATGTGATAAGGGTTACGGCAGAAATATAAATAAAATGTCCTTAAAGAATGTAGGTAGAGACTTCATTCTTCCATGCTCTGAGCAGGTAATGATCCCACAACAGGAGATGAATGCAAGTTGGTTTAAGTCCTATGGTCTCAAACTTGGTTTTAGAACTGAAGCACTTTTTATTTCAGTATCATTATTTTTTAAGCAAATGCCTGATGAAAAGTTATCTTTGAAACATTTTGTATTTAAAAAATTGTCATCATGCATACATTACTTAATTTAATACAGTACACTATTTTTAACTCATAGCAAAAGAGGTAAAACAGTAACTTAAAATTTATAGGTTGTAAGAAGTATGAAGATCATTGTGATGCAAGTATAAAAATGGAAACGTGTTTTAAATAAATCAATATTCAAATATGTAAGTCATATAATTGTTATAAATAATTTAATATACAAATACATATGCCAAAGTCCACATGATATATCCACTAAGACCTTAACATCCTGAAGTGTATTATATACTAGCGTAACATAATTAATATAGTGAAAAATGTCTGGCAATATGCAAACCATCCATAACCACTTTGTTTGCAATCTACCTTCAATATTTAGTTGGACAACTTTGGAGTGAAAAGTACTACTGCATGAGTAAAGAAATACAAACGTCTTATTATGTTGCTTTCCAGAGTCTTAGGTTTCAGTTGATTACCTATGTCAATTAGTATATTCTCTCCTTTCCTTTCTATTACCTTTCTTTAAACTTTGAGTTTTCTGTGCCTAAAAATGTGTATACATACATCTTGTCTACCCAAAATTTTATTCTGTTGTAATTGAAATATGTATTTACTTGTGATGGCTAATTTCATGTATCAAGCCTGGCTATGTCAAGATACCCAAGTGTTTAATAAAGCATTTCTCTAGATGTTTCTGTGAAGGTATAGATGA
Source organism: Homo sapiens (assembly GCF_000001405.40). Taxonomy (NCBI): domain Eukaryota; kingdom Metazoa; phylum Chordata; class Mammalia; order Primates; family Hominidae; genus Homo; species Homo sapiens. Next base: position 92,459,782 of record NC_000004.12, read on the forward strand.
GATTAGCATTTATAAGTAGACTTACAGTAAAGCAGATGACCCTCTATAGTATGGGTGAGTCTCATCCAGTCAGTTGGAGGTTTTAGTAGAAGAAATCTGACCTCCATGGAAGAAGAGAGAATTCTGCCAGCAGCCTGCCTTTGGATTCAAACTGTCACTCTTTCCTGGGTCTCCAGCCTGCTGGCCTGCCCTGCACTCTGGACTTCCAGCCTCCGCAACTGCATGAGCCCATTCCTTAAAATAAATCTCACTATATATATATATATATATATACACACACAACTTTTTGGTTCTGTTTCTCTGGAGAACTCTGACTAATATATGCTTCAGGGCCCAGAAAGTGCTGACCATCTTATAATAATTTGAACAAACAAATAAACAAAAATAGCCCAAACCAGAAAAGTCACTCAATGTATATGTGATGTGATACAGTGACACAGATATTGAGAAGGCAAATACTGTGTGATCGAGATAATGGGGTCAGCAGATATTCTTCCAGAGACAAGAAGCACTGGTGTAAACAAGTATGCTAGTTAAATACTCATTAGTTAAATTTACAGAGGGAATTCAGTGAACCCTACAATGCTTCAGTTCTTCAGAAAGATTATCCAGCCTCTCTTTACTTCTCCCTTCCGAAATTTCATGTACACGATTCTAGATATTTGAATAAATGTTCCACACAGAACTTTGGGTGATGAAATAAAACCTATCCATCTGTAATGGAAGGGAACTGACTCTTACAATTGTTATTTCTGATACTGATAGAATTTTTGTCTCAAATAATTTTTACACTTACTGCTGTTGTTTTCCTTTCTGTCTTGCTCACACTTTTAGTGTAAATATAGTTATAACATATAGAACTGTTAGAATTGTGGCATTAGGTTGTAGATTTGTGATCTTCCTATATTTTTGATGAAGGCATTTAACTCAGGACTCATTTTGAAAGTCTAAACTCTTTGAATTGGAAATATATCTCCTGAAAGTTTTTTACTGGATTTAGTAAAATTGAGCATTTACCTCACTGTTTTTCTTTTTCAAAAGACATATAATATTTAAAAACAGTAGAGAATAATGTGGGGGAAAATGCAATCTAATTAGGTTTATTGTTATTACTATTTTGACATTTTTAGATCTCTTTAGAAAAAAATTACATAAAAGACATTTGAAGCTTCATATATATAACGCTAACCTATTTTCCTCCCTTCTTCCTCATATGTATCTATTTTACCACATATTTATTTTTCCATAAATTTCTGTCTATTGTTTTAATTTTTAAAGTTTTATATAAATAGTATATAAATCATATATTTATATAACTTTCTTTCTTATATGTGTTTTTTAACTGAGTAATGAAAGAATAAGTGTTTAAAGTAAAATATTTTATCAGGTATACTTATGAAACATCAAGTATACCCATTAAACTTGTCAACTTTTATCGTAGGAATGTTACATGGTAAGTCCTTAGTTAACATCATTGATAGGTTCTTGGAAACTGTGACATTAAGCAAAAGGACATACAGCAGGTCCTTGAATAACATCATTTTGCTCAACATCATTTTCTTATAATGTTGAGAAAAAGCATGGTATTTTTATACGTTGTTTTGCTTAAGTCACAGTTTCTAAGAACCTATTGACAATGTTAACTGAGGACGTGTTGTGTTTGCCATTTTTTTCTAGCCAAAAACTCTAAGAAACTTGAAATGACAAACCCTTCAATATGCTTTCTCGATATCTTTCTCATAAGAACTCAGATAATTTCAGTATAGATAATAATATAGCTACTTTCTGTATAATTGTGGATTTTATATGAGAATTGCTAATAAAATGCCTTTTTTTAATAAATAAAACCTAAACTTACCCTAATTATACTTTCATTTTCTTCCTGATCTCTTAAATCATCGTGGATTACAGGGTTTTGTTGTTGTTGTTGTTTAAATCTGGCATATGGTTACAAATATAGCCTGTGTGCTAATAATCATTTCATCTTTTTTAATATATTAGAAGACATTTACACAGTGGTTCTTTTCCAAGGAGAGCATTTTCTGCTCAGTTAGCAGGAAATGCATAAGTAGTTTTCCTAAGTGAGATCTTCATCAGCCTAGAAGTGTCTACTGCAACTTTCTGGGCTTTTAAAATCATACCACCAATTATTCCTGAGATGTTGTATTACGTCTTTGACAGCTGACATTTTTTTGTGTCACAGCTATTTCTATACAAATAGAATGCATGGAGCATTACAAGATATTTAAAATTGTTATGTATTCAAATAGTAATAGGTATTGTTTTGAAATGTACTTCTTTAATTCACAATATACTTCCTTTAGGGCACCTGGCCAGGGATTTAAAAACCCAAAGCAAACATGTTTTTGTTTCTTTCTAGAAAGATCAATAAATAGCATTATACAATTACAACTTACTATTCTCACATCGCTAAAATAGAAGTGTGCTTATGGCTGATGTCAAAGACTGTAGTTGCCTACGCATCACAGTCTCCCAAGGAGAAAGCTTAACCTTTAATTGTATGCTACTCAAGCAGGATTGCTGACTATCCTTATCTATTGAGGGGAAATAAGTAAATAGTAGGAGAGAATTAACTGCCTTTCATTCTTTGCTATCACTTAAACATATGGTATAAACAGGATTTTTTTTTGTGGCTGTTGATTTTTTTCCAGTGGCTCTTTGCTGGAAGCAAAAATATATTTTGCCTTGAAAATAAAGTTAGTGTTCTCAATTTGTGATAAAGGTCACTATTTAAAAATATTTTTTGTTGTTTTTGTTTTCTGACAACTCAAGCAGAATTGATTAAGGATAAAAAAATGGCTTGCTATTTATGGAGATGATTTCCTATAGTTTGTAATTTAATGGACTCCCTAACCAAAACACATTCCTAAAATAGTTTTATGAGTTAAAATGTTAAGTGATCGGTTTAAAAAAAAAGTAAATTCCTTTCTATAAGACACTTCTGAATCAATATCATTGTATTACTGAAATATTAAAAACAAGCAAGAAAACCAATGAGACTTGTTATACAGGTACATGTGGCTACTCAACTATATTGTGATGTCAGAGAAAGCTCCCTTTTCTATGGAGGGCCATGTGACCAGAAGAAATAGGTGCTTTCTTACTATGAAAGACACAATTGTCCCTTATTCTAATTTGCGTAGATATTTATTTCAATTTCCACAAAAGTCCTGTTTACATAAGAGACAGAAATAAATGTATAACATTATAAAGTAAACCATTGAATAATATATAAAAACAGCTTGAAGTTTTATATTATGACTATCACTGTGAAATGCTATCATTACATGCTTTTTGATGGCATGATGCTTTTAAATTGAAGGTTAAAAGTCCTAAAATATGTAACTAGTTAGTGTAAAATTTTTATTTAAAACTGATGGAGATTCAGTTTTTTAATTTCTGTTTCAGAAATTATCATCAGTCTAGGAGGTGTAAATTATCCTCTCAAAGGAAGGATTTTGCTCTTATCTATTGGGAATTTTCTTTAAGGCCTCTTGCCTGTAAAATCACTTGTATCTAATATGTGCCATTAATTATAAAACCACTCCTCCTATAGGTCTACCATCACAGAGTTTTGACTAACATTTTTTGAACCACCATATTTATTATGATAACAATTTAACTAAATTAGGCCCTGCTTTTCATCATTCAGACAACTTTTGGGAAAACATTTAAAAAATAAACTCAAAACTCCACTGTCTCTGAGAAGTTTAAAAACAGTGAGCCTCAATTCTTATGTCAGTGAAGTCAAGAGTTTCAGATAAATCTGTATATTCAATCCTGAGGTATCAAATCCAGTTCACTGAAATTGTCAACAGTGATTTACAAAAATAAACTGAAGGGCACTGTTTATTCACTTCTGTACTGATGTTCTATCTTCTTACGGTGTTTTCTCACAGCTTTTTTTTGTGTAGAGAATCTTGTATTAAAAGGTCAAGAATATTGGGATTTAAGCCTACTGCTGCTACTATTTTAATAGGTATTTAACTCCCAATTGCCTATATTTCTTGTGTGGTAGTAAGTGGGATACTGAAGTTAGATTCATTGATGTCTATGGACTTTGCTGTCACCATTCCCTATCTTGAGAATCTTATCTTCCCATCTCTCTGCTTCCTTTTTTCCCTTTTCTTTTAAACATTTTTTTTTATTCATTTGCTCTTTTTCTCTACTTCTCTTCCATTGAAATGACTATATTTTCCCTCCCTTTTAATATGCTAAGTCACTTTCAGAGACTCAATCCTACCCTATTCTTCTCAAACATTCTTAAAATACCCTTTTCTAAATTGTAGAGCATGTAATTTTCCTCTCATTTCCAATATTCCTTCCTATTCTATCATGTATGTTATAATCTGTGATGAGTAAATTAAGAATCAAGTGTGTCACAGCAAAAACCAAAAGAATGAGAAAGATAGTGGAAATAGCACAGCTCTGGTTAAAACTGCTTTCATCTTGCCCTTTCTCTTAGTAAAAACTCAACCCCACAGTATTCTAACAGGATTTTTACTACCGTTCTTTTCCTGTCCTAACCCCAATTCAAATAAAGACTTCACACCATCTCAGTTCAGTTAAAAGAAATACTGTTCTCTTTAATGTTAGAAATAAAGCTCTAGTCTTCCATACCAGAAGGATTTTGAGTAGGTATATTAACTTTTTGCTCTACCCACTTTAGAGTAGACTGGAAGTATTAGGCCAATATATGTTAATTATTTTCTTCTGATGGCAAAATAATATAACGCCTGCTAATATTTCGAGTGAGTTTTAAGACTTTCAAAAATCCTTAAAAAAAGGTAATACATGACTTCAGTTCAACTCCATAAAATAGCATATCCCAGCATTTAGAGAATCAAAGACAAAAAAGACAAGTTCATTAATCTCAAGCAGCTTACAGTCTATTAGTGGAGCTAGAAATATAAGCACATAAATGTTAAAAAGAATAATTAAGAAAGGATTTATAAAAGATAGCAATTATACAGAAAAATGTCTAATTCTCATAAGATAGTATGAGAGGTTTGGCTCTGTGTCCCCACCCAAATCTCGTGTTGAATTGTTATTCCCGATGTTAGGGGAAGGACCTGGTGGGAGGTGATTGGATCACGGGGGCAGATTTCCCCCTTGGTGTTCTTGTGACAGTGAATAAGTTCTCAGGAGATCTGGTTGTTTAAAAGTGTGTAGCGTTTCCCTCTTCACTCTCTCTCTCTTGCTCTGCCATGTGAAGATGTGCCAGCTTCCCCTTCGCCTTCCACCATAACTGAAAGTTTCCTGAGGCCACCCAGCCATGCTTCCTGTATAGCCTGTGGAACTCTGAGTCAATTAAATCTCTTCATAAATTACTCAGTTTCAGGTATGTGTTTATAGCAGTGTGAGAATAGACTAATACAGATATCAAAGCAAGTGATTCATAAAAGTTGAGATTCCTGGGCCGAGTTTTAAAAGATAACTAGGAATATCTCACAGGCAAAAAATAGAGAGTGAGATTAAAAAAAAAAATTCAGGCAGAGAGAACAAGTACAGACTCAAGAAAATGTTATGTAATTAACATTCATAATTGAATTCATTAGACACTATTTGGAAATGGGCTTACATATATGACAAAACTGAAAAATGGCAGATTTCTGATATGAATTATTTCACCGGATTGCTTAATTTGCTTTTTATTGATATTATGGAACTCATTACAAATTATTTATATAGAGCTATAATTCACAATTATATACCAGTAGCAATAAAAAACTAGTAGAATTGTAGATGATGTTGGCACTTTCTTTGTAGTTTGCTCAAAATTTTCATTGAAGAAGAGGTTACATTCCTCTAATTGTATTTTTCCTTTTAATATTGTGCAATTAAATGTTTATTTGCAGTTCATAAAGCAACATCATCTCATTTGTTTGAAAATCCTGCTTGACATGTTCTTGTATTTAGTCTTGCTATTAAATTAGGGGCCATTAGAATAAATGAGATTGTGAGATGTTAATACAGAGGTCAGTTCAATTTTCTACCCATTTCCACCAATGTGAAAAGCATCTAACATGTTTGCATAAATCCTGACTTATAGATGTGGTAATAAACAAACAAAATTGTAAATTTCATTTATTTACAACTACTGGGGAGTAGAAAACATAAAGAAAATAATGATCATATACAGGCAGAAGCTGAGAGTCTCACAGCCCCCTTTTTATATTTAATAATAATATACATATTTTAAATTGACATATAATAATTGCACATATTTGGGGGGTACATACCAATGTTTATATTTATAGATATGTTGAGTAGGTGCAAAAGTAATTGCAGTTTTTGCAATTACTTTTAATTACACTATATATAATGGACAGTTAATTTTACTACACTATATATATGTTACAGTAATCAGATCAGGATGCTTAGCATATCCAACATCTCAAACATTTATAATTTACTTGTGTTGGGAGCATTCAATATACACTCACTAGCTATTTGAAACTATATAATATATTAATGTTCACTATAGTCATCCCACAGTGGTAGATTTTCACTGCCTTTCAGAGTTTGTACAGAGAGTTAAAACTATTTTTCTTTTTCTATATTTAGTCTGTACATTTTTTCCTTTTGCAATTCCTTTTCAGCATTCTGCTTCTAATCTCTACGTCCATGACTTCAATTGTTTTGATTTTTAGATACCACAAAATATGCTTATTTCACATTGTATGCCTTTATCAAAACATCTCATGTACCCCATACATACATACACCTACTATGTACTCACAAAAGTTAAAAATAAAAAAATTCTCTATCTATTCATTTTTTAAAATTATTTGCCATTACTCATTTCCTTGGTTTCTTTTACAGTCGTTTCCCTATTAAATCAGTTAGCTTTTGTTTAGCTTTTATAATTCATTCTCCATTCTCTATATTGTACTTACCTATGACACAGTTATTTAGGTGATTACTTTTAGAGTGGATTGGCATATTTCTGTTAGAAGATGATATCAAAATATTGTTAGGTAAATGAATATATATCTACCTAAATGATACATACATATATATATATATGTGTGTGTGTGTTATATATATATGTAAACATACCACCTTAATGGGATGCATACAGGGCTAATACGATAATTCCTTATTTTATATAATGGGAAAGTAGTTTTTGCCTTATTCCTCGAATTAACGGTGTAGAGAGACTCAATTTGTTTTAAAATCTTAATTATCAATGATAATTCTTCAAATAAATACTCTCATTTCATTGCAAAGTTATTACTATTAGAGAACATTTTAATTATTGTTATCAAATTTTACTTTTTTAGAAAAACACAAATCCTATTTTAAGTTGAAAAAGCGAATGTTAAAAATGTTTTAGGATTTACACAATATTTTATTTGAAGTTTTCAATTTTTCAAATGTGAAAATACCTATGAAGTATGAATTTTTTTATTTATCACGTTGATTATAACTTTAAGTTTTAAAAATGTTGAAAAGCAACTGGGTTATGTAGAAGTGTATATGTGTGTTTCTAAACACCTTATATATTATGTATTATTACAAAATGTTTATAAACACGTTATAATTTTCAGAGGCTTACATTCTTTTTAAAATGATACTTCGTTAATAACACTTCACTAAGTTTTTCATTCAGAAAATTTTAATCTAAACTAGACTGATGTACTACTACACACTAATATGTAAAAAGGGACCACTACCCCTTGAGTGAGACTTTATATTATTTAAATTTTGCTCCAAGTACTGTATGCATCTGGATATATTCGAAAAAAATCTTTCCACATTCTCTTATTTCTGTTTTCTTAGATGAAGCATGAGTGGGCTGGTTTGTGCATCTAGAACAGGGGTAGGGGACAGGGAGATATCCAACCAAGTATGGAAAAGCATCTCTTCTCTTAATTTTCTTCCTCCAAATTAAGGTGCTGTAACTTGAACGAACACTCAAATTAATGTGTACACATGTTATGGAAAAAAATAATGCAGTGATCAATGAAAGAATCCAGGTTTAATATTGGGAATTAATACAAAGAGGGGATATAGAAAATTGAAGCTAGGCTTAAAATTGACCCCAAAAACTTATCTGAACAAATGAAATCTTAGAAATCCTTTAAGTATAGTATGCCTTGGAAATGAGTGATATGGAATGATCATAGTAAAACCACACTAATGTGACATGTAAACTTACCTATGACTACATGAAAACTTGGGCCCAAGGAAAGCTGGATTATCAATACTATGTGTATATGAAAGAGTTTGTCATGAACCTAGACTGTGTCACTTTTTTCCATACTAAGAGGGATGCTATCTCATCCACCCAACATGAATGGAAATTTAATTATATTCAATTATCTTACCAGGTTTGGAGATACAAATGAAATACTATTATTTAATATTTACTGAGTGCTTATTTTCAAGTGGTTATCATGTTAAAGGCTTTAGATCATTGACTAATACAATTCCATAATAACCACCCTGACTAGGTGTTTTTACTAGCTGAATTTTTCAGATAAAATTGAGACTTACAGAGACTGAATAACTTTTCCAATATTACCCTGCTAGTAGAAAGTGGCAGAACTGGGATTGGATCCCAGTTCTTAGAAAATCACCAATCTTTCTTAACCATTATGCTATTTATTGGTTTTATAAATAATTACTTCAAATTACCTACTTGGTGGCATCCTTAATTTGGAGCCAAGCACTTATTTAAACAAACACTTAATGAAATATTTATTTATTTTTAAAAAACTTAATTAAACACTTATTTAAACAAAGTTTAAGTAAGATACAGTTTTTGTTCTTGAGGAACTTACAGTATAACAGAGGGAGAAAGCCATGTAAACAAAAAAACAAACACCTCTAAGTTTGTGGCTTTGTACAGAGAGAGTGGTCTGTTCCTTTTGGATTTTTACTTTCTAGAAGTTTTATGCAAGGCTCCATAAATATATTATGTCTGAGTTTCATTGTGAAAAGTTAGCAGGTATTCACTTACTGAAGGGAAGCCATTAAAATGTTTTAGGCTGGATTATAACCACTGGACATGAACGAAGAAGAAGATTTCAGCTGAGAATAGTGAGTCCATTTAAAAGGCTGTTGAAGTAGTCAAACTGAGGTCAGATGGAGGCCCGAAGAGAGGTAGTTCCAGAGACAAGGCACTGTGAAGAGAAGGGATTTTGGTGTTTGAGGAGTAGCAATCATGGACCACACACATTTCTGAGTGGAAGTAAATCAGCTCAACCTATGTCACTGCCTGGGCATTTGACAGCCATTTGTTGCTTTCCTTGTTTTTAATTACTTAATTTCTATTATTTTTGAAGAGACTACCTAACATACTTAAGAAACTTCACTTTCCAAAAATCTTTGGCTATTATTATCCCGTCAGGAAAACTCCTTATCAAAGAAAACTTTCTTTTTGGAATTATTTTTTTCTTCAGTGTCAAGTGCTTTTATATTCTGTTGAAGATTTGTTTTTCGTTAAAAGATAACTTCCACTTCCTGTATTGCAACAATCCAATGAGAATGAAGAAGGTTAGAATATAGTTGTCCCTCAGTATCAGCAGATAGAACTGGTTCTAGGAACCAGGTGGATATCAAAATCTGCAAATGCTCAAGCTCCTTATGTAGAATGGTATCACTGTATTTGCATATAACCTACGCACATCTTCCATTTAGATAATCTCTAGATTAGTTATAATACCTAAATCAATGTAAATGCTATGTGAATAGTTGTCATACCATGTTTTCTATTTGTATATTTTTATTGTTGTATTGTTATTTTTATTATTTCTTAAAAAATATTTTCAGCCTGAGGTTGGTTGAATCCATGGATGTGGAATCCAAGAATACAGAAGGCCGATTGTAACCGATATCGGATCAAAAAGAGAGTAATAGAAAGAAAGGCATAAAAATAGGAAAAGACAAATGAAACAAACAAAAAAGCCACAACAAAAATAACCCAACTTAGTTAGATTCAAGTTTCATAATTTTTTTTTCTTAAAGGTATGATTAAGAGTTGATGAGAGATACTTGGAAGAAAAAACAAAACAAAATAAAATAAAACAAAAAAGCTGAGGAAGTTTAGTAACAGAGAAGAGTTAATTGCTTTTAGAATATTTTCACAATAGTAAAGCTGCAAATTAGTTTAATAGGATACAAAATTTTAAATGTAATTATATTAATAAGGAGGTAATGATTTCTTGTAGTCTATAAGTTATCCTATACAGACATGAAATATTTTTTGTATTATATAACAAACCCTACTGAAAGGATGGATGTCTCATAAGTATATTAAAATTTTTCTAAAAGGCATTTATAAAAACAGGTGTGAAAATTTTTAACACAGGATGGACTAGAAGAAAATAAATAGGAGACTAGAAAAAGATACATTCTCATTGGAAATTCTACAGCTCCATACTTGGGATCCTAAGCTATAATTGGATGTGGAACACTCAATTTGAGAGAATTTTCACAGAATGCTAAAGTTCTCTCTTTTTTATCATCCAAAAAAAATCATCATTAAAAACTTCCAAAGGGCGTAAAACATATAATATTGGCAGAGAGACACAAACATGTTTTTTTTTAATTTAATTTTAACCCCCTGTGAAAAAAGAATTCCTTGAGTTTGGCCAAAATTCAAAATTTTAACTTAGAAAATAATACCAGTCTCTATTCACTAAAAATATGCATTCTTTCATTTATTTCTGAAAAAAAGAGGTAGAATTTTATTTCTGTAATGTCAAAGCAAGTCCTCATCCTTCTTTAATAGACACTATATTTGTCAAAATTTTTGTAAGCATAAAAATATGGCTGGAGTTCTTAGAAATGTTTGCCGTAACTTAACCAATAAATAAAGTATTGCCTCAAACTAAATTGCATTAGAAACAGGAAAAGGAGCTCTAAGCAAGAACTGACTGCAATCATTCAGAATTATATTTGTATTTTCAATAATGGCCAAAGACATAAAATTACGAGTGCCCACTAGGTGAACATTATTTATTGTGTGTCAGTTATGACTCATAATACATAGTCATTATCTCTTTAACACAGTAAGCCAGAATAATATATATGATTTTTCCCATTTTACAGATTTAAAAATGATGCTTTCAAAGTAGGCTTAACTGCTTCACAGGAATGTTGTCTAATTTTGAGCAATGTACATTATAATTTTTCTAATACTGTCTACATACAGTATTATTGGTACAACTTTAAGTAGGTTGTGTAGTATATTGTAACACAGGGTACAAATCCTGACAGCAAGTGGTAAATATAATGGTGAGGTCAAGCCAATTCCAAGGAAATACATTTTCTGGGACATATGAGAACTTTGCCTTTTGTATATATGAGCATCATGTAAGAGCGAATGGTACAGTAAAAACCCCAAGGAAATGGCAACTTAAATGTGAGTCATTTAAACAACATTCTGAGGTATTGGTATAAGGTTAGGATCATGTTTTAATTATTGTTGATCTGCAAAATATTCTATTGGGCATCCTTCAATCCTTTCAAGCATCCAGCCTAAAATACTAATACTATATAATGTTACATGACTCCAAACAAGATTGAGGACCAGTGACCTTGTACAACCCTTTCATTTTATAATTGAGGAAGTTAAAGGCTTGAGTGGTTAGACTGTTGGTAAGTAAGTCATTACAATAGCAAAACTAGAACCCAAATCTCCAAACTCTTTTTTCCCATTATGTTTTCTCCTATATCATACTGCCTGGTATAATGATAATGGTAAAGTTCTTGCTTTTTAACTCTAACTGTTAACATTTTAATAATAAACATAAACAACCAACTGAAATAATAAAAATAATTTACACATGCATTTTAAAATATTTATTGTATGACCAGCATATACTAACTTAAACAAATTTAAATTGTACACTTTGATAAATACTGACATACTTAAAAATTGTAAACACAAAGTAGTCATCATTCCCCCCAAACTCCCTTGCTTCTCTGTAATTCTTCTCACCCACACTTCCTGACTGCAATTCCATACCCAGGAAAACGTGGTTTTTTTCTGGTCACTGTATTAGTTTGCATTTTATACAGGCTTATATAAACAGAATCATACAATCTACATTGCATTTCTGGCCTTGTTTCTTTAACGGAGCATACTTATTTGGGGATTTATCCATATTTCTTTTTTTTTTTTTTTTTTTTTTTTTGAGACGGAGTCTCGCTCTGTCGCCCAGGCTGGAGTGCAGTGGCGGGATCTCGGCTCACTGCAAGCTCCGCCTCCCGGGTTCACGCCATTCTCCTGCCTCGGCCTCCCGAGTAGCTGGGACTACAGGCGCCCGCCACTACGCCCAGCTAATTTTTTGTATTTTTAGTAGAGACGGGGTTTCACCGTTTTAGCCGGGATGGTCTCGATCTCCTGACCTCGTGATCCGCCCGCCTCGGCCTCCCAAAGTGCTGGGATTACAGGCGTGAGCCACCGCGCCCGGCCGTTATCCATATTTCTATGAATGTCAATAGTTCATTGCTTGTTATAAATTTATACTATTTCATTGGATGGCTATACTATGATTTGTTTATCCACTCACACGTTGATGGACAGTTGTGTTGTTTTCAGCTTTGGCTGTTACAAATAGAGCTGCTATGAACATTTACACTTAAGTCTGTATAGGAACATATGTTTTGAAATTTTGGGTAAATACCTAGGAATGGAATGATGAGTTCATTTGGTTGGTATAAGTTTAACTTTTTAAGAAAGTTTCAAATTGTTTTAAATGAGTTGTAACATTTTACTTTCCCACTGGTAATGTATAAGAGTTTCAGTTGCTCCACATCTTCATCAATACTGGTGTGGTTACACATTTTAATTTTAGACATTATTGTAGGTGCATAGGGATGTCTCGCTGTGGGTTCAATTTGCATCTCCCTAATGACAAAGAGTGTTAAGCATCTTCTCATGTGTTTGTCATGCATTTTCCTTCATTGTTTCAATGTCTCTTCAAAGTTTTGCCTGTCTTAAAATTGGGTTGTTTGTATTCTTATTATCAAGCTTTGAACATTATTTTTCTGCTCTGGAAACAATCCTGTTGTCGACTGTATGATTTGCATGTATTTTCTCACCCATTTGTGGCTGACCTTAACAGTGTTTTTCAAAGTAGAAATTCTTAATTTTGATGAAGTCCATTTCATTTTTTATGGGCTTTTATTTTAGCGTTGTGTCTATAAAATTTTTACCTATCCTAAATTTACAAAGATTTTTTCTATGCTTATTTCTAGACATTTCATAGTTTTAAGTTTAATGTTTAGCTCTGTGAATGATTTTGGGTTATTTTTGCATATCTTATGAGTTATAGATCAAAATTCATTTTTTTGCATACGTATAGTCAGTACCATTTGTTGAAAAGGCTATGCTTTCTTCACTGAATCCCCTTCACACCTTTATCAAAAATCAATTGACCATGTAATTTTGTGTTTCACTTTTAGATTCTCCATTCTACTTTATTGCTTTATTTGACTGTTTTGATGTATGTGATCTTTTATCCTGAAAACTTGCAAAACACTTTTTAGTTCCAGTGGCTTTTTGTAGCTTCTGTTGGATTTTCTTCTTACACATCGGTCGTCTTATAATAAGGAAAGTTTTATTTTTTCACTTTTTAATGGCTTACATTTATGTTTTCTGACTTAGTGCACTAGGCAATACATCCAGGACAATGATAATAGAAGTGGGAATAGTGGAAATTCTTGACTTTTTCCTGATCTTAACAGGAAAGTATTCAATCTTCACCATTAAGCGTAAAGTTAGATGTAGGTCTTTCATAGATTCCCTTTTCAGGTTAAGTAATTTTTCTTCTATTTCTAGGATCCTCAGAATTTTATCACTCAGAGTATGGTCTATTTTGGTAAATATTCTTTATGAATTTGAAAAGAAATATGTGTTCAGCTGTTGTTAGCTATCGCGTTCTAAAACCATCAATAGTGTCAAGTTGGATGATAGTGTTGTTCAAGTCTTACTGAGAGAGACAGTTGAAATATCCTTCTATAATTTGTTTCTTTTTTTGATGATGAAATTGTGTTTAAGTTTTTCAGCTTTATTGATGTATGATTGAACATAAAAATTAGTATATTTAAGGTCTACAATGTGATTTTATATATTTATATATTGTGAAATGATTACCACAATCTAGCTAAAAATCATACCCATCACCTCAAATTGTTATCTTGGTTGTGTGTGTGTGTGTGTGTGTGTGTGTGTGTGTGTGTGTGTACGTATGCGATGACAACAACTGAGAACTTAAGGTCTATTCTCTTAGCAAATTTCAAGTATAAAATACATTATAATTAACTGTAGTCAACATGTTAAAAATTATGTCTCCAGGACTTATTCATCTTATGAATGAAAGTTTATACCACTTGACCTCAACATCTCTCCCATTTCCTACCCTCCTATCTCCTGGTACCATCATTCTGCTCTCTGTTTATATGAATTTGGATTTTTTAGATTGCGCGTATAAGTGATGTCATGCAATATTTTTATCTTTCTATGTCTGGCTTATTTCTCTTAGCATAATGTCCTCCAGTTTCATCCATGTTGTCACAAATGGCAAGATTTACTTATATTTGATGCTGAATAACACCTGATTGTATATATATGACACATTTTCATTATGCATTTACCCACTGATGAACACAAGGTTGATTCCACATTTTAGGTATTGTGAATAAAGCTGCAGTGGACATGGGAGTACAAATATCTCTTTGAAATAATGATTTCATTTCCTTTGTATTTGTACACAGAAGTGAGAATGCTGGATCATAAGGTACTTCTATTTTTAACTTTTGGAGGAATCTCCATCCTGTTTTTCATAATGATGGTATCAATTACATTCTCACCAATACTGTACAGTGGTTCCCTTTTCTCCATTTCCTCACCAACAGTTATATTTTTTCCTTATTTACAATAGTGTGAAGTGATATCTCATTGTAGTTTTGGATTTGCTTTTCTGTGAGGATTAGTGATGTTGAGCATTTTGTCATATACCTGTTGGCCATTTGTATGTCTTCTTTGGAGAAATATCAATTTAGGTTTTTTTCTTTATTTTTTCCTGAGTTGTTTGACTTCCTAATGTATTTTGGATATTAACCTCTTATCAAGTATATAATTTGCAATTTTTAAATTTTACCTTTCATAGTTTGTCTCTTCATTCGGTTGATTGTTTTAATTTTTTTGGGGGGGGGGTGGAGGGGGGAGGGATAGCATTAGGAGATATACCTAATGCTAAATGATGAGTTAATGGGTGCAGCACACCAGCATGGCACATGTATACATATGCAACTAACTGGCACATTGTGCATATGTACCCTAAAACTTAAAGTATAATAATAATAATAAATAATAATAATAATAATAATAATAAAAAGCTTTTTATTTTGACTTAATCCCATTTGCCTTTTAAAAAAAAAATTGTTGCCTGTGTTTTTGGAGTCATGTCCAAAATATCATTGCCAAGATCAATGTCATAGAACTTTTCTCCTGTGTTTTCTTGTAGATGTTTTATGATTTCAGGACTTACATTTAATCTTTAATCCATGTTGAATTGATTTCTGTATATGATGTGAAGTAAGGATATAATTTCAGTCTTCTGCTTGTGGGTTTCCAGCTTTCCTAGAATCATTTATTGAAGAGAATGTCCTTTCCCCATTGTGTGTTGTTGACATCTTGGTCAAAAATCAAATGGCAGTACATGTGTGGATTTTATTTCTAGTCTGTCTGCATTGTTCTGTTAGCACATGTATCTGATTTTAAGTCAATACCATGTTGCTTTGGTTACTATAGCTTTGTAGTATTTTTTGAAATCCAGGTAGAGAGATGCCTCCAAATTTGTTATTTTGTCTAAGATTGCTTTGGCTACTTGGGGTCTTTTATGGTTCTGTAATGAATTTTAGGATTATTTTTTAATTTTGTGTAAAACATCATGGGGGCGTTCATAGGCATTGCATTGAATTTTTATATCACTTTGGGTATTATGAATATTTTAATAATATTATTTCAAACCAAGAATATGTGATATCCTTTCATTTATTTGTAGCTTCAACTTCTTTTGTCAATATTATATAGTTTTCGGTTTACAGATCTTTTACCTCCTTAGTTAAACATATTCCTAAATATAATATTTTACTTTATTTTATTGTAGATATTGCAAATGGAAATGTTTTCTTAATCTTCTTTGGATAGTTTGTTGTTAGTGTATAGAAATGCTACTGATTTAAGAAATTCAGTGCTTCTTTTTTTTTTTTTTTTTTGTGACGGAGTCTCTACCTCTGTCTCCCAAGCTGGAGTGCAGTGGCGCAATCTTGGCTCACTGCAAGCTCCGCCTCCCGTGTTCACACCATTCTCCTGCCTCAGCCTCCTGAGTAGCTGGGACTACAGGCGCCTGGCACCATGCCCGGCTAACTTTTTGTACTTTTAGTAGAGACCGGGTTTCACCGTGTTAGCCAGGATGGTCTCGATCTCCTGACCTTGTGATCCGCCCGCCTTGGCTTCCCAAAGTGCTGGAATTATAGGCGTGAGCAACTGCACCCGGCTGAAATTCAATTCTTCTTTACATTAAACATAAGATAATTTTCTAAAAGTTTAAAAAATATTGTCTTATTTAAACACGACAACAATCTAATGTAGTAGATTCTTTATCTATAGAGGATGAAACTGTGGCACACAGGGTGAGGTTTATATAACTTTTGTAAACCCATACAGATATTAAAATTGAATGATGGCATTTTGAGTAAAGATGTTATATGATTAGATATCCTTCACTCTGTGTTGCTTTACTTATCCAATCATTTTACCTAGTTAAAATGATTAAAATAATAAAATGTTTTACCAGTAGCAAATGAAAACATATATATCTCAGAATCTACTTATAACCACTAACTAAAGAAAAAAATTTCGTATGTTTTTCTAAATAACATAGCATTTAAAGCTGTATTCTAAAAAAGATTACATATATTGCATAATGATTTTACTTAATTACTATCACAACATGTAGTCAAATATGAATGCTTAAAATGTGGTGTTGCATAATGATGGAATTTTAAAAATATGTCAGTGAAATTCATTTAGGAACGAAAATGTGACTTTTCTATCTTTAATTTATAAGGCTAATAAAATTGAAATAATATATACTTTACCGACTGGTGGAGTGGTCCAAAGAACAATGAAATGAAGTTATTTAAAACACTGTCATTCTTAGGATAAAAATCCTTTGCAAAAACAGATGGCTAAACTATTTGATTTAACTTCATGTGTGTGTGTGTGTGTGTGTGTGTGTGTGTGTGTGTGTGTGTGTGTGTGTGTGTGTGTTTGCTTAGTATTGTTAGACTATGAAAATGTACTTAAATCTTTTAAGAATGGAAGAATATTTTTGTCATAATCAGCAGTGCAGGCACTTGAAAACTCTAGCACAATATTTTTTTTTAACTGTAACTGTTTTGGTTTGCTAATGCAGCACTTACTTTTCCATATGCAAAGATATTTAAGGTCTCAATGGTTAACCTTATTTTAGTATTACTGTGGAGAAAGTTGCAATCTGAATCTAAAATAAGTCATTTAGTTTAGACTAAATGGACAGACACATCTTTGAAGTTTATAGATACAGTTTCCAGTGACCCAGTTTTTGACATACTACTGTCGTGGTTCACTCTAGGTTTTCCAAACACTGTTTCAGTGATTACTGAGCCAGAGACAGTATGCTTGATTGTGTCAGTTTATACTTGAATACCTTTAATATGTGAATCTATGCATCATACTCACCATTTATCACTCTAACCCTCTAGGGCATATGAGCACAACACATAAATCTATTTTGGCTGCTCCTTAAATGTCATAAATACCCTGGCTATATTTGGTTTTAATATATATATATTTTAAAGAGATAAATACTGTAAATCATATTTCTGAAGGAAACATTATTTTGACAAAATGTCCATCAATTAAACAGGGTATATATGTTTATATATTTATATATCCTCTTTTATATATATTAATTATATTAATATACATATAATACATTAATATAATTAAAATAATATATATTTTAATATATATAAATATATATATTCACACATAATCACACACACACATAGAGATACACAAATTGAAAAACAAACATACACATACCATAAACTGTGTTATTGGTACTATACAAGAGTTACATCTTTTACAGAACAACATAGGCCCTAGAAATAGTATAAACTCAAGAAATATTTGTTGACTAAATGACTGCATAAGCAAATGAGGAAACGGCCTAGAAATTGATCTAAATAACATTAAAAAATTGACTGTATCCCATCCAATATCATAGAATAATATTTTCTATATTACTGCAATTACCATATCTTTGATTTTCTTTACCACCAACCTCTTATTTGTGCAGTTATCTTTTTCCTCTAGTGCTCTCCCTCTTTGTCTCTCCTGCCTAAGCTAAATGTAACTAAAATAAAAAATGTAAGTTACTTTAAAGTATAGCACCATGAAATCTTCTTAGTCTGATTGTTTGGAAGTAGTCAGTGGCTTTACCCCTACAACTTAAATTTTGTATTTCAAACTTAGTCCTGAAAAGGCATTATTTGCTTCATCTCCATAAAATTGCATTTTAGTAGCATGACTTGATGTGCTTAATAAATTAGTTATGCATCTTAATGATAGAAGACAGCTTAACCTGTCTTTAAAACATCATCATAAAGCTGGTCATGCATTTTTCTTTAGTGTCTTCCCTAGCACTGTGAAGCTGTATGCTCATATTTACATCAAAACTCTGTCAGATGATTAGATTTTGCACATTTTTTAATGGCCATTGAAAACAAGTTCTTTAGGACCTTAATTGCCAAAGCAAAAGTATGAAATAGTTTTGATCACCATGCTGTGATCATACTTCTATGACATTCTTAAGTAAATGGCTTACCTTGGACACACTTTTAAATATATCTGACTTCTTTTTTTCCCTTTATGGTTTTCCATCTTGTTTCTGCAGACGTTCTCTTCCTTCTGTACGCCTCTCCCAATATAGAATTTCAAATTTGTCATCAATTTTCTGTCCACATCTCCCTATCTGAAATGTTTGCTAATAAGGTAATTCTGGCTAGGAACACTCACAGCAATTCTTTGCGGGGGTAAAATGCTACTCTTCAAGGCCCAGTGTGACATCTCCAATGATTTCTCAGGATTTATGAGTTTCCTTTGTGGAGCTGACTTTCTTTATGGTGTGGCTGCATTTCTGAGGATCATCACAGTGTCAAAATTCGTTACAGTGAGAATAAGTATCTCATATGAGCCAGTTGAAAAGCTAATACAATTTAGATATTTGTGGTTATTGATAAAGATATATTTAACAATGTAGTGATTTCAGAAAAAATAATAATGGTGGGAAATATTACACCTTGTGTATAATTATGATACATTAGTGGACTTACTTCAAGTTTAGTTTGTGCACGCTATGGAAATAATTACATGGTTTTTTAAAAGTTGTTAAGATACATAGTCCTCCTTAGTCTTTGCTCTGCTAAAGTGGATTTAGTGTACTACAAATGGTAAACTGTTAGAATGGTCCAAGTCTAATTCATAATAAAATTTTACCTATTACAAACTGTGGTTATATGGATTAAAAAAATGCCTAAATTTTCCAGAGAAAGTTTTACAAAATGTGTTTATTTGGATTTTTTAACTATATTAATCAACAAATATGTAGCATTTTCAATACCTCCGTATTGTTCTGTTTAAATGAGCACTTACATATTATTAGATTTGATGATGTTCTTTATTTTACATATGGGAAAACTGAGGCACAGATACATTCATTAAGTTCACATGGAAAAGCAGAACCAGATTTTGAAAATGAAAGAGATAGTTATAAAGTTGCTGCTTATTGAGGAGTATTCTTCAGACCTTTCAATTTTATTTGGTGAATCAGGAAATAGATTAATTGATCAATAGGAACAAACTACGTTAAATGATTGATAAGTAATATAAATTAATTCCAAAAGTGGAGACTTCTGTGGGCTTCAGTTAGCTAAAAACATGTTATTGAGGAGACAGGCTTGATCTGGACTTTGGAGAAAATAGAGAGGCAATTAGGGAGACATAATGTTGGAGTGAGTACATAGAATATTCAAATAAATATCAAATGTTATTAAAGCATTTCATAAATTAAGTTTTAGCGTAATTGATAGAATGTGATTCTTTGAAACATTGTAATTACTAGCTTAAAATTGTTTATTGCATAATGAGTATTATTATTATTGTTATTTTGGAACATGTTTTCCCTTCTGATTAGTTTTCTTACAATTTCTGTGTAATAATGATTACAAATAATTTTTCTTGTCAAAAAATACACGTATCTTCTCAGTTCTACTAAAATGAATGTTTTACATGAATTTGTTAGAGTAAAAGCATAAGAAACCATCAGGATCTAGAAAGGAAAGAAATGGAATGAGAATTAAATAACTTACTTGAATTGTCTTGCTTTAAGTGAATGTCATTTCTTATGATAATCACAAAAATCATTAATCAAATTTTATTTTCATAAGTTTGCATGAGATTACTTAATAGTTTTCTTGAGTCAATATAGTGTTGAAATATAACATTTTTACATTTTTCTCCTTAGTAGGAAAGATAATCTATAACTATGGGTGAGCTTATCATCAAGAACTCCAGGAAAATTATGAAGTGATTTCTCTTGCCACAGTGCCTGTCTTAGTTTCCTGAGGCTGTTGTACCAAATTACCACAAATTTGGTGGCTTCTAACAACAGAAATGTATTCTCTCACAGGTCTCAAGGCTAGAAGTCCAAAATTCAAACTTGGCAGGGCTGTGATCCCTGCAGGGCTCTGGGGAGAATATGTTGTTTGTCTTTTCTGCCTTTCTTTGGCTGCACTGGTTTTCCTTGACTTGTGGTCGCTCAAGGCTCTAACCTTAATTGCATCTGCAAGTACTCTTTTTCTAAGTAACGTAACATTCATAGGTTACAGAAATTAAGGTGTAGGCATATCTTTTGGGGGTGCCATCCCTCAACCTACTTCAGTCCTCTTTTCCTTTGAGCTTTCTTCAAAATCCCTATTTCATCTGCTACCTGTGATTAGAGCTCCCTTGCTCACTATGCTCCCCTTCTACTTCATTGTAGCTCTTAGGAAGTTGTCAACTCTCTTGTTCAGCTTTTAAAAGTACTCATTTGATTATTCTTGCTGGTGTCTAGTTTCGTGAGGTTTCTATGCTCTACATGCTGACAAGGGTAGTAAGTATGATCTCAATACAGTGAAATCACCTCTCAATAGAGTTAAATTTCTGAAGTCAGCAGGATAGGCTGAATGTGTATATGACGTAAACATGGTAAGCCAGAATTAATATAGCTGTACTGACAAGTACACAAAATTGGAAGTTTAATTTACTCAAAGGTCTTGAGAAAATTGTTTATTATCTTTAATTTCATATACCTTTATAGGCTTCTAATTTTTTCTGTAATCTTATAGAGTACCCTTAAAGTTCCTGGAAGTAGAGAAGTATTACTCTTCTATTTTAAGAAATTACGGAAAGAAAAAGATAGAGGTAATTACTCCAGGATAAGTGTTCATTTAATAGAATGGTAATAAGGAATTTATGTGAATCACAGACACTATTTAAATGATTCTCTAGTATGACTAGCCAATTATCTCAGCACCATTTACTGAATAAGGAGTCTTCCTCATTGCTTGTTTTTGTTGACCTTGTTGAAAATCAGGTGGTTGAAAGTGTGAAGCTTTGTTTCTGAATTTTTTATTCTGTTCCATTCGTCTATATGTATGTTTTTGTACTAGCATCATAAAATTTTCATCAGTATAGCCTTGTAGTATAGATTAAAGTTAGGTAGTGTGATGCCTCCAGCTTCATTCTTTTTGCTTAGGATTGCTTTGGCTATTCAGGCTCTTTTTTGGTTCCAGATGAATTTCATGTTATTTTTCCAATTATTTAAAGAATGATGTTGGTAGTTTCATAAGAATAGCACAGAATCTGTAAATTGCCTTGGGAAGCATGACCATTTTAACAATATTGATTCTTTCAATCCATGAGCTTAGAAAGTATTTCAATTTATTTGTGTCAATCATTATGCTGAAAAGACACATGCATTTGTCTGTTCATTACTGCACTATTCATTATTGCAAAGACATGGAATCTATCCATATGCCCATCAGTGGTGGACTGGAGAATAAAATGTGATATATATATATATATATATATATATATATATATATATATATATATATATATAAAATAACAATACAAGCTTATAGCTGCTCAGAGAATTTTGATTTATTCAAGATTTATATATATCTATATTTATATATATACTATGGAATACTACACAGCCATAAAAAAACAGTGAAATCATGTCCTTTGTAGCAACATGGATGGAGCTGAAGGCAATAATCCTAAGCAAAATAACACAGGAATAGAAAACCAAATATTGCATGTCCTCACTTATATGTGGGTGCTAAACTTTGAGAACACATGGACATAAACTTGGGAACAATGGGAGCAATAGACACTGTGGACTACTTAGAGGGCAGAGGGAGGAAGGAGGACATGGGTTGAAAAACTACTTATTGGGTACTATGCTCACTACCGGGGTGCAATATACCCATGTAACAAACCTTCACCTGTACCCCTGCATCTAACTTAAAAGTTAAATTAAAAAATATAAAATGAAATAAAAATAATTATTCTATTCTTGCACCTTCTCCTTCTGGTTGAATTGGTCAAAGGCAAATAAGAATATAATTTGACTCCATTTAGTTATGTTAACTGTTTTAGAAAATACAATAGTTACCCAATTAAAATCTACTTTTTTTAAGACGAGATTAATTTAAGTCAGAATATGAGCCTATTTGTTAATTTGGTCTTATCAAATCATATCACAGGGCAGATTGTTGCTCAATTCTGGCTTGTGATTGACTTGTCTCTGGCTGAAAGAATCTAGAGACGCATAACTTAAAAACTCTAACGGAAGAAGATGTTACTAATTAATTCTTCAAACTCAGTATACATCACTTAAACAATGTATTATTTTACAATATTAAATGCTTATTTTTATTATTAACATTATTCTCTAAATTCTATGTCTATCATTGTTTTAGAAATTTATTTTTAATAGCAACATCTGTGAACTATAAATACTAATAATATGTTGCAACATAGGATTGTATCCATACATGGAATATTTTGACAGAATACACTAGACACATCTAGACAAACTTGTTGTTCAACTGACATAGTTGGTCAAAAGTACAAGCTTGGCTGGGCGCAGTGGCTCACGCTTGTAATCTCAGCAGTTTGGGAGGCTGAGGTGGGCGGATCACAAGGTCAGGAGTTAGAAACCAGCCTGGCCAATATGGCGAAAACCTGTCTCTAGCAGAAAATACAAAAATTAGCTGGCTGTAGTGCACATGCCTGAAGTCCCAGCTACTCAGGAGGCTGAGGCAAGAGAATCGCTTGAATCTGAGAGGCAGAGGTTGCAGTGAGCCAAGGTCGTGCCACTGCACTCCAGCCTGGGTGACAGAGTGAGACTCTGTCTCACAATAATAATAATACTAATAATAATAACCACAATAACAATACAAGCTTATAACTGCTCAGAGAATTTTGATTTATACAGGATGCCAGTTGAATGTTGAGTTAGTTTTCCCCTTTTCAAGTGATGTCATGTTTTATCAGTTTAATTTATCAAGACAGTCAATATGTATGTTGGGAAAAGCAATAAAGCTCTCGTTACTGAATAAATATCACTGGGACGATCAAAGCTAGAGTAAAATCCTGGGTCAGGAACACCAACCACAAGATTCAGGGAGCAATCAGATTTCAGAATGTGATTACCAAGCTGGGTCAGATGTCTGGAGAATAGGATCTGGATGAAGTAGATACGGAAGGTGTAAGTAAGTTTGCCAAACTAAAATCAGAATAATGAAAGTCATATTTAGAAGTCTGAGGGAGCCTTTTCAGGCTGCTACAGGGATAGGGAGGTAAACAAGCAACAGAAAAAAATTAAAATGCCTCTTTGGAATGTTAAGTAGCAGAATGCCCCTGTTGGTGTTTCCTGCCACACCTGACAGTGTGGCAAATTAGCTTATACATTTTTGAAGAATTTTAAGAAATGGAAATATTGCATATGAGAACGCACAGTTAGTTAACCTCTCTGATATGGCATAGGAAAGAAGATTAAACTACGTGAATGATAAAGCAAGGTGCTCTCCATGTAAACTAACTTGTAAAACTGACCACTCCCAAATTTGTATGTTTTTATTCACACTGTGATAGAACAAGGTAAATCTATGGTGGAAGGATGGAGGGGGAGAAAGAAACATTACAAATTGATAGGGAACATTTTAACTGACAATAGTTGCTATACCTAATGTTTCTATTCATTTATAGTAATTGTAACCTACCCAAAGTCACAAAGATGGTATCTGACACAACTAGAGTTGGTTATTGAAAGATCACTGCTACAGGCAAGGCACCAAGATGCCTCATCCAAGCTGCATAATGATTCAGTAATTCCCTTGAAGAAAGTTAGTAACTATAAAAAGAAGGTAAAGATAAAATGTCATTTCTGACTTCCAGAAGCCCCAGCAGTAATATACTTTATTATATACTGTATGTAAGCAGGAAATAAAATATTATAGGAATTGTGAATATTAATTAACCACATCTTCATAGAGTACTCAGAAAAGAGTTTCTGGAAGATCAATGGTTCCAAACAGATTCTAAATGATGATGGTTTAGGAAGGTGGAGAGACACATTCAATATTTTATGCAAAGCCAACATAATTTTATATAATATTTTATATAATACTTGTTGAATAAAGAAGAATATGGCATAAAATTGAAGCAGTACATCAGAATAAGTTAATGGAGAGATTAAGATTCAGACTAAAAATTCTGGGTCTAGTTCAGTAGATATTGAGATAGTAGGATGATTATGAAGAGCGTCATATGAAGAAGTACTATACAGGTTTGACTTATGAGGTATGGAGTTGTATATATTTGATCTAAATCTCATATCTACCACTTTTTAGCTTTGATCTTAAGCTATTTTACATTATTATGCATTATAATTTCTCATATTTAAACTCAGATTAATGAAAATATTTCCTTCATATTACATGGAAATATGTAATATGGAGGATTACATGGAAAACTTCATGTAGCGATCTAATCATGGTGCTTACCATACATTTAAGAATTATCTATTTATTAAACAAATATTTAAGTGGCTGCTACAGGCAGGTCATTTTGTTATTGTTATTTTTATAATTTTAATATTATCATTACTCTTATTTTCGATATTGCTAATAACTTGAGGACGTTTATGGCAAATATATTTAGGCTGGATGAAGCATCCTAATCCTGGAGGATGACAGTTGGGGATTGGGAAGGAATCAGTGAGAATATTCAAATGTTTCTAATTGAATAAATTTATTTGCTTATATGGCTTTTATTTATGATTTATATTGTCCTTATATATAATAAATAAGGTGTGTGCATATATATATATATATATATATATATATATATATATATATATATATAGTGTGTGTGTGTGTGTGTGTGAGTGTATGTGTGTGTATATAATTCAGGACCATTATAAAGAGAAAAATAGGCCAGTCCTGGTGACTCACACCTGTAATCCCAGCACTTTGGGAGGCCCAGGTGGGTGGATCACCTGAGGTCAGGAGTTCAAGACTAGCCTGTAAAACCCCATTTCTACTAAAAATACAAAAATTAGCCAGGCATGGTGTCACGTGCCTGTTGTCCCAGCTACTTGGTAGGATGAGGCAGGAGGATTGCTTGAACCTGTGAGGCGGAGGTTGCAGTGAGCTGAGATTGCACCACTGCACTCCAGCCTGGGCGACAGAATGAGACTCTGCCTCAAAAAATAAATAAAGAAAAATGAGAGAGAGAAAAACAATTTGCAAAAATATCTGTAATAAAAATATTTGAGAATTTTAAGCTTCAGACTTTGCATATGTCAGTGTATCATCTGCTCTGCATTAATTTTATGTTTGTATGTCTGACATAAAATTTTACATAAATTTTACGTGGAATTTTACATAAATAGCTTTCTAAAAATTTTCTGGGCCTGGAAACAAGATTTGAAATTGTAGAAATAATGAGTATAGTGAAAACTAATCATGTAAATATACAGTAGATAACAAAAATGATGGAACTTGTGAAATCCACCAAGAAAACTATGCTAATGGGTTCTCATTAACACTCAAATTAGATTACCTGACCTCTGGTTTCTATTTGTAAACTTGAATCTCTAAAACATAAAGTGGCCAATTCAACATTCCAGCCAGTATGTAAATCTTATAATGAAAATAAAATATAAAAATATAAATAAAATAAAAAAATATAAAATTAGTTTTTATTTTTAACCACTTAAAAACTAAAGATAGCTGACCGGTAATCACCTTTATCATCCCATTAGAAGCACATAGTAAAAAATAAGTAATTAATGTAATATCATGCCCTTTGGTATACAGCATAAAAAATAGAAATAAAGGGGTACATCATTCATAAGCCTCATATTTTATATAAATTGAGCTTCTTACATTTTTCCTTTCATATACTCCTTGTCATATATGTAAATATAATAAAACTTGAAAGTTTAACATAACTTTTCCAATTTGACATAGAAAACCAGATTAATATTTATGTTTGCTGAAATTTACATTCTGTCCTTTCAAAAAGTGATGTAAAATAGCCTTATAAATCTCTCTCTCTTTCACACACACACACACACACACACACACACACACACACACACACAAACACAGATAATATAGTAGGAATAAGAAGGGTAAGAATCAACAGAGTAAAAAGACAACCAATGGAATGGAGGAAAATACTTGCAAATCATATATGTCATAAGGGATTAATATCCAAAATATATAAGAAACTCTACAACTGAAGCAGAAAACATAATTCAAATAAAAATAGATAAAGGATATGAATAGACATTTCTCCAAGAAGAGATACAAATGGCCCACAGGTATATGAACAGATGCTTAACATCTCTAAAAAATTTTTAATATTAGGTTTTGGTGCAATGATACAGCTCAGAGATATGGATATACAGTATAACCCAAAGGAACGTTTAATTATGGCTTTTCTTCATTAGATTTTGGTGTTCATTTCATATAAATTATCAAACATATTGATATACATTTGTTTATGTTCTTCCTCCCTTAGCCTCTTAATGTCTCTTTTATTTCTGATATTTGTGATTTGTACATTCTCTTTTTTGTTATGATCTATCTGGTTACAGGTATACTATTTTTGCTGATCTTTCCAAATAACTTTATTTTAATTCATTTTCCTATTGCGTTTCTGATTTATATTTCATTGATTTATTTCTCATTTATTTCTTTCGTTTAAACAGAAAGTTTAATTCAAGACTAATTTTTTAGACCTAAATTTATTTTTCCAGTTTCTTAATATAGAAGCATAGATATTATATTATTTCTTGTATTTAAATTTAAACATTTAATATGATACATTTTAGAGTTACTTTTATGTTTACCATCTAGTGCTCCTTATTTTTTGGGTAGATTCCAATTTCTATCTGTTATTATACTCGTGCTGAAAAATGAATACTACTACTAGAACAGGCCTTCTGACATTAAAATCTCTCAAGTTTTTGCCAGTTTCTTCATTTTCTTTTCATTTTTGAAAGATATTTCCACTAGATAATAGACTGTGGGATGAAGTGATTTTATTTTAGTATTTTCAACATATCCAATAAATAACTACATTGTCTTTGTCTTGCAAGAATTTCTATCTTTTTATCTTTATTCTTCTATATGCTATATCCCACTCCCCTGTTTTCCCCACCCTTGCTGGCTTTACTAATTTTCTCTTGGTCTTTCAGTTCCAACAATTTATCAATGTTTTCTCTAAGTGTTTGTGTGTTTTTAAATTGTTGTGGGTTTTTTGTTTGTTTGTTTGTTTGTTTATTTTTTCCTGCTACATAGTGTTGTCTTGGGTTCTTGGATCGGCAGTTTTGTGTGTTTTGTTTTTGGCTTTCATTGATTTTATGAAATTCTTGATCATTTTCTGTCCTATTGCTCTTCTCCTCTAAGAAAACAATTTCATATATGTTATAACATTTGATATTGCCCTATAGCTGTTAGATATTCTGATTTATTTATTCTTTGTTTTTCCTCTTTCTGATTCAGTTTGTAGAACTTCTTTTGATTCAGATTCAGGCTCAGTGCCTCAACTGTGTCGATTCTGTTGATGAATTCACTGATGGAATTTTGAAACTCTGATGTCATGATTCTTATATGTAGCTATTGCTTGAATGCTACACTTTCTATAAAGGTATAATGTGACATAATCTAATACTCAATTCCTGTCAAATGTTTGGTTAAATTCTTACATTCATTTTGGGGATATAAAAAGTTAAAAGAGGACACCGGTTCTGACAACCAGTGAGAAAAAGCTGAATAATCTACAAAATTATAACTATTATTCAACCCATCGAAGAGCTGAGATCACAAGGCAAACAAATAAATCAACTTCCCCAGTATGTCACTTTGAAATAGCAGAGATCCAGTCACAAGGAAACTTAGCACTCATTCACAACTTATCTTCTTATGCCTCCACTGGATGCTTTTTAGAAGGATTTGGGGTGCTGGCATGAAGGAGGTAACTGCTGAGGGATCATTGGGAAGCTTGCACTACTTTTCTAGACTCTCATATGAAGCAAAATCTTTATGTTACTGGGAAATGGGAAACAAACTAATCTCCACAAGCAAGGCAAAATTCCACTGCTTCTGAGGTCAAAATGTAACCAAAAACCCTTCTGTCTCTGGGGTAGGCATGCTGCCCATGGGATTTAATCAAAGAAATGTTAATGCTGAGGAAGGGTAAAAGAACGTACCTCTTGTGCCTGAAGGAGAAGTGAGAAATCATCTGGGGCTCAGGACTCTGCATTCTGCAAGCACAGGTCTGATAATCCTGGGGAAAGACCAGGAAACTCCCATCTGTTTAAGAATGATCAAAAATAAAGGCAAGGTTTGGCTTCTTTGGGGAATAGACATGCTGAGAAAACTCTACTCAAGGAGTCTCATGACCCTCTCTGTGCTTGTCTGAAACTGCGACTACAGTAGAACAACAGAGCCTACCCAATTTATACCACCAATTTATAACACAAGCATACCTAGTGATAGTACATTTCCCATAGTATTGCTGTGATGATTATATTAGACAATAGATAGAAAACACAGTGTATAGGTGGGTAAGTCCTCAGAAGACATTACTACCCACAAAAATACTCCCTATGAGTAAACTAAATATGAAATAAATATGGTTGCCCCTTCTACTGTAACTACAAACAGCAATAATAAATATGCAGATTTAGGAAGTTTACATTGCACTCTATGGTTGATAACAATATAATTTTTTTAATGAAGCTGTTTTAACTTAAAAACTCAACAGAAATAATTATATTCATTCAGATATTTTTAAAACATCCATGTCCTAAATGTTATTTAAGAAATCAAAATACATCAAAATTATATAATTAGATACATCAAAAGCATATTTAGACACACATCTCATTGAAATCTCGATTTTGTAACAATATTCCTCAAAATTATTGAATGCTTTTGATTGGTGCAGAGGAATATTTCCATGTAACAACAATAATAAATAAAATCATGGTACAAGTTTAATTGTCTTTGATTGAACAATGATGAAATGATTCATCTAATTTGTTCATTATTGAAAGTAAATAAGGGCCGGGCACGGTGGCTCACTCCTGTAATCCCAGCACTTTGGGAGGCCAAGGCGGGTGGATCACCTGGGGTCAGGAGTTCAAGACCAGCCTGGCTAACATGGTGAAACACCGTCTCTACTAAAAATACAAAAACTAGCAAGCGGTGGTGGTGCGCGCCTGTAATCCCAGCTACTCAGGCGGCTGAGGCAGGAGAATCACATGAACCTGGGAGCTGGAAGTTGCAGTGAGCCAAGATTGTGCTACTGCCCTCCAGCCTGGGCGATAGAGCGAGACTCCATTTAAAAAAAAAAAAAAAAAAGTAAATGATTTCACTTAGAGTAAAAGATGACTGTTCTTCTGTGAAATTCATGAAAGTTTAAAATTAAGGAAGTCTTTGCATTTTTGGAGCTACTTCTTTATATGAGGATGTGTTCCAAACAAGGAAACTAAAAATATGTTTCCTTAAAATCAAAAGTACGTTTCCTTAAAATTAGTCACAGGGATCACTTTTTAATAAAATAACTTATTTAACTGTAGTGTTGTTGAGGAAGAATTTCATTTGGAACTACAAATTCTGTTACTCATGCTTTATAGTAATAGATGATATCATTAAAACTTTTTGGCTCTATGTTCTGTATTCAGTTAAAATTAATAAGATAGCAAATATATGGAAATATAATCTGCCTGTTTGTAACCTTTATCGTATTCAAAATTAAAAGATGCATTTGGATGGTGTAGGTTTGTGAGAACACAGAAATAGAGTTAGAAGAAAAAATTATAGGTATCTTTATTGATTTGTAAAACCTGGAATGCCAGTTTTCTTATGTGCTTGTAATTTTTGTTCATTTTATGAGCCCTTATATAGCATCCTGCTCTGATCAGTTTAGTGTATTTATCATTAGGCTTTATTAAGCTGAACAGCAAATGGACAAATGCTTTATTGAAGTGAATAGCATATTGCAGCCATTATGTTCCCAAGATGATTTAGACTCTGGATAGTTATTTTACGTTGGTTTATTGTTCTCACCTCCATTAGACACTATAACTCTATCATATTGAAGAAGTAGTGTGGAATAATTACCGTGGTACATTCATTAACATGGGAAAAAATGAAATGCTGATTCTGAATTCCCAGTATGAAATCCCTTATTGAAACAGTTCCATCTCAGCATGAGCTTTATGGGGGATTTCATAAGAGGCCGTCCTCTCCAAAGTCCCCAAATAAAGCATCTGGGGATGATTCTCCTCAAATTCTCCTCAAATTCAATGTTAACCTTTAAGAAAAACCAGAAGAAACAAATTTAAAATACCAACAAATGATGCCTGTTTTGCATCATTAACCGTAAGTGTTCACATTGAGAAATCCATACAATTGAAACATAAAATCTAGTATCTATCTAAAAATAAAAACAAAAATAGAATGGAATGAAAAACACATGCAACTGGAGTTATTAAGCTAGTATTGCTCTTTTGTATTTTATCTTTCTGTTTACTTATAATTTCTCCCTATTGCACAATAAGCAATTTATAGTAAATTGTAGATCTTATATATCACTGCATTCCAGCCACCTGGCATTTTTCCCTAACATATTAGCCCGATAAATATTTGCTGAATCACTATTTTTGAAAATAATAAATGGCTGGATAAGAACATTTATTTGTAAACCTTTGGAAGGAGACTTTTTGAATGAAAAGTCTACCACATGCATATATATGCATCTTGCATTTGTGACATCTTGGTTAAGGGGTCTTAGATAATATCAGCTATGCTTCCAGTTCCACAGTTTCTAAGAGCTCCGGTCCTGTTTTGTGCTGGATATTGATGCTTTTATCTTCTGCTATAACTGTATACTCCCCAAGTCTAACATAAGCCTTCTTGTGTACTTTTCTTATTGTCATCAGGTTAGCTCAGTTCTTTATCACTTCCAAATTGTTTAAAGTAACAAATTAACAACTGATATCTAGCTCAAAAACATTGGTGTTTTACTACATTCTCTTTCCCTTGCCATTTGAAATTAATGATGCAATGACTTGTGCCATTTCTTATTAAACTGATTTTTTTTCATTGTCATGTTTCACATTTGTCTTGTATATGCCTCATGGATAGATGGAATTTGTTAATAAATAGCTGTTTCCTTATTGGGTGTGTGTGTGTGTGTGTACATGATGTCAACAGAATAAAGTAATTCATTTTCAATATTCTATGATTTCACTATGGATAAACATAAATTATGATTAATTGTTCTATGGTTTCTTCAGTGGATGATAAAAGCATTACCATTTCTAAACATTTCTCATATCACTTTATAGAGTACTTTTTGGAGATATGCATTAATAGTTGGATCAAAATTATTTAAACCACTTCAGTAATGCCTTTTCCAAACTGTGCATTGTACATGTTCCTAAATTTTGCACAGGATACAAAAATGAATGAAAACATTTTCTGTGAGGATGGGCTTTCCCTGACATCAGTCTATTCCCAGAATCCGAATCTTTAGTCATTCATAAGCTTGCATTTTTAAATATTATTTTAGTTATATCTATCCTAAAAGGCTTTGTATGCTCATCAGGACAGGTATTTTAAATGTGGAAGATTATTCTCCTATTAAAAAGTAAACAGAGTCTTTGAATCTAGAAAGGGATCTTATTAAAACTGTTGTTTTCCTATGAGTATATTCTGGAAAGAAAGACTCTACCGAACTGTCAAGAGCAATTCTCTTCCTTCACTATTTGGTTATTATATATGGTTAGAAGATTCTTTCTTGGTAAAATAGTCTCAAGATTTTAACCGTCCCCAATGTTGTGCAATTAGCAAAAGTGGGACAATTTTTTGACAAAATGATGTTTATTACATGTGTAAACATTTAGCATTATTCTGTAATCAGGCAATTGTATAGATACATAAGAGCATGTATCATTCTGAGTTAGAGCAAGGATTATTTTGTAGTGATCATTGGTTAGCATCCACATATTCCATTAGAACATCCTTTCAGATATTCTTGGATAGAGAACAGAACCACATTTTTATATCTACAAAGCCTTTATGTAGTTTCAG
This sequence comes from Homo sapiens, assembly GCF_000001405.40. Taxonomy (NCBI): domain Eukaryota; kingdom Metazoa; phylum Chordata; class Mammalia; order Primates; family Hominidae; genus Homo; species Homo sapiens. Next base: position 92,492,599 of record NC_000004.12, read on the forward strand.
TCTATTTCCATATGATATCTGAGGCATAGATATTCCATGTTTCTCAGAGTAAGTGGTATCTCTGTAAACACAGAATATGAAGCTCAAAGGCTCCTAGGAACCAACAGCTTTTAAAATGATGCATGGCACAATAGGTATTAAGGAGTCATATCTGAAATCCACCAAAAAAATTTTATTATCAAAAACGTTTAAAAGGTTGCATAATAACTAAGTAAACAATACCCAGGGCTAAATGGAATACAGTTTTAGGCCAGGCGCAGTGGCTCATGCCTCTAATCCCAGCACTTTTGGAGGCCTAGGCGCGCGGATCACTGGAGGTCAGGAGTTCAAGATTAACCTGGCCAACATGGTGAAACCCCGTCTCTACTAAAAATACAAAAATTAGCCAGGTGTGGTGGCACATGCTTGTAATTCCAGCTACTCATTAGGCTGAGGTCGGAGAATTGCTTGAACCCTGGAGGCAGAGTTTGCAGTGAACTGAGATCATGCCACTGCACTCCAGCCGGGGGACAGAGCAAGACTCCATCTCAAAAAAAAAAAAAAAAAAAAGAATTGAATTGAATAAAGTTTTAAGGATTAATGTTACTATTTCGCTAAGAAAAAAGTGGTTTTTATCCTAGTCACTCTCCTAAAAGAGGGCATTATAAAACTATTCTATTAAGTCTTCAAGAAGCACAGACTCCCGACTCTACAAATTCCATGAATTCAGATGTCTTTCAAAAATATTCTTATTTAACTTTCTTCCACCTGATACCTATGCTGGGTAATGCATCACCATCAGCTTAGTAGCTGAAGCCAGCCAGAAATCATAGTGGACAAGAGAGACATAGCCCAGCACTCATAAAATTCTAAAGCTACTTCATTCTCCACATGAATGAAATCTTTCTGAGACTAACCTTCAATTAATGACGGAGTGTGTCAGCTGCTCTAAACTCAAGTGCAGCAGCTTAGAGGTGTGTCTTGCATCCTTGTGCATCACTCACATTTCTATCCCACACACTGCTGCTAATCAATTTCTAAAATAAAATTTTAAATCTAATTATTTCACTTCCTTTATTTGTCTCTCATTGACTCCCGTTGGCCTTAGGATAAAGCGTGATTGCCATGGCTAAACGCTCATATTTTTGAAATCTAGACTTTTCTAGCTATCTAATTTGTTTAAATTATTGCTATCATTTTGAACAGTTTGACCTTTTTTAGCCTTCAGCTGTTTCCAATAGGAGACCACTAGAAATAACCATATAAAGCAATCAGTTAAACACTTTCCTCAAAACAGAAGCATTTGTTAGAAAACATCACATACATTGACTTAACACTGTCTTTTTAGTTTACGTATAAGACACAATATGATTTGAAGAAACAAAAAGAAATGCAGACAAAGACAATTAGTATTAGCTCCTTGCACTTCAGCTATTTAACTATTATTTTTTACATTTTTGTTGCAGAGCCAAAAAGTTACTGTGCTATATTCATTATGGTATCCAAAATTATCTGAAACCAATTACATCTGCTATTGAGAAAATTTTTCATAATTGCTTTGCCTATATTACCAAGATTTTTCTTCCCCATAAAACTCTATTATGTTGATGTGAACATATATTTGTGTCTGTGGAACTTGGTTTTTTTGTTTATTCTTTGGAGAGAGAGCCATTAGAAATTTATAAATTTAATGGATTCTCCTTTTTATAAATTCCTAGATAGGAAATTACTAAATTACTAAAAAATTTTCAGGAAAATTTTTTAGTAATACACTTTTACATGTATAAAGGAGGGAATTTTATTCCTATGTATTTAGATAACCAGGTCATTAGTATTAGAATTAGCTTACATTATATAGACACAGAAACATTTAGTGTGTTTCTTATTTTACATGTCACATGAGAAAAATAATATTGTTTTGATAATATTAATTACAAAAAACTTCTGCATGTATCTAGGCTTTGTTTTATCTCATTTATATTCACAAATCTGTAAAAGAGAGTTGGGCAAGGTTACCAGGATAACAAGTACCAGAATCAAGTCTAATTCTGCTGATATAATTGCTGGCACACATAAACACTGTACTAAAATGGCTCTGTTGTAAAAGATTTGCCAAATGTGTATTTTATCTTTACATTTGTAGTATGTTTATGCATTTCATTTTTTCATTGTATCAGTAATATTTCTAATTTTACTAAAAAAGGGGCTATGTACACAGTAGCCATTTAGTACATTTTTAGTTTGGTGCAAAAGTCATTGTGGTTTTTGCCATTTTTAATAAAATACAAAGAAAATTATTGCTTAAAAAATAATTTCACTTTACATTTTCCTCCATTGTTAGATAAAAATTATGCAGTGAATTTCTATTACATTTTATATTATTGGGATGAAGCACAATTAAAATTCCAGAATAGAGAAAAATTAATAAAAATATTATCAAACTTTGTTCAAATATACAGAAAGTGAAAAGTATTTAAAAATCACTTTTGTAGTAGTAGAGAAATGAAAGCATTCATGTGGAATCTATTATAATGTGTTTCCAGTCAAGCAAAACCAGAATTCTCCTCACGAGAGAGTGTCTAGATCAAAGAAACTGCTTCTTTCTTCAGTTTCTTAACCATAAAATTATCTGGAATACATTTCAAGCTCCCTGTGTTCATATAACCTTCCCAGTAGGTTTATTTTACCTCTGAGCATCTGGTTATTGGTCACTGAGAAGAAACTATTTCCTAGAATCTAGGGCTAGTCGCTATGGGGGAATACTCAACATACACAATAGCAACATAGATTCCCTGTTATACAATGAAGAAATAAGGTAGAGGATCTCTTGTATAAACAGGTAGAATGAAATAATTTTAGGTGGCTAAGAGGATCACAGGCAGAGATGCTGATAATTTTAGGTTGCCATAGAGACAATTAGCAGGATTGACACAATTATACTGTTCAGGCATAAGAGTAGAATGTTGGAAGTTATACAGAAATTAAGGGAACTAACAGAAATGTAGGCAAGATTGAATGAGATCCGGGTACATAAGCATCATGGAGGCTGAATGAATAATCACAGCAGCTTAATGTACCATTTAAAGGGGATATTGATTGTTTAGAATTATAAAAATATAATGTAATATAAATAAAACATTACAAAATATATGACCATATTTAGAGTTAGTTCTAAATTAAAATTCAAAGTAATTGTGTAGGGTGGTCATTTTCTGATCTGAGAACCTCCTGATAGGTGAGTTGTGGAGAGGAAGGAACATCAGAACATATTCCTATGCTTCTCTAGTGAGATCGGAAAGATTTTAGATAGTATTCAACTCCATGACATTGGCAACTATACCCAGACATGCAAACTTTTGATGCAACTATGAGCCATCTTTATGGCTAAATAAGTTATAGAGGCTTTAAAGTAAATATGTATGAACTGAATTTGTATTTCCTCAAGACAGAAAAAAACTACTATTCCTTTAGCAAAAATTATTCTGCACTGATTATTATTTTCAAATAAGTAAAGCTTACCATGTAAGCACCATGTCCTTTAAATTAATGTTGAATATTTTGAAAATGATCCTTTACAAAATGAATTGCAAATTTTTATTTATTTTAAAAAACTGATATTTATCCTAATTTCAGAATGACTGACACACAATTTCAATATATGTACACACTCTCCTTTACCTTGTATTCCTTCTTTGTGGATGTCAGAAATCAGTTTCTAACCCTCCTTCTAGTTATACCCTACCTTTGAAGATTTCAGTTTACTGGAATCTGAAAACAAAACAAAACAAAACAGACAGCCATACTTCTTAGATCTTGTATAAATGAGCAGTAAAGAAGGTCTGAGTGAAGATTTAGCAGAACTTGCCTTTTGCCAACAGAACTTCATGTATCTGACTACAAGTAAAAGTTGGAAAATCATCACTAAAACTGTAACAGAAATTCAAGGACTAAATTGAAAGAGAAGTTGAAGTTTATTTATGGTATTCTTTCCAGAGAGATTTTATAGAGCCTTTTTTCAGTCTTTCCCAACCATGTTTATTTATGTTAAATTAAATTATTGGAGTTTTTTTTTAGAATTCTTATAGAATATATGACTAAAATGAAGGATAATAATATAATTTGACATTTAAACAGTTTTATTGTGAAAATGAAAATGAATGTTGTTAATACTTATGCTAAAACAGTAGGCATGAAATGACACTGTGGCTAACCAGAAGGGACATATATTCACACCACCTAAATATGAGACATGTTTGTTAAAAGATCCTCCAGATATCTTTTTCCAGTGAAATTAAAAAAAAATTACTTAATTTATACACTTTCAAATATTGTCTTTTTTTCACATTCAGCTGCTAAGTTATTTGTTTCTAGTTCCCTAAAATTGGCACAGAGGGAAACAAATAGTTAAAATCACATTTATCCCCTATTTTTTACCTTATATTTATATAAGAAAGTCATAAATCTTTCTTTAGTCCTTAGTTCAAAGATTACTTTTAGTCTTCTTTTACAAATAAAAGCAATAGTTTGGAGAGTGGGAAATGAGATAGGATAACTTTCCTCTGGTTAAAAAAAAATCTTTGAGACTTTGTTGTTCACTTTAATGCTTCAAAATACTTCCAAGGCGTCTTTGAAGGTTTAAAAAAGGATTTGTGAATTTTTTATGGAATGCCACTTAGTAGGTGTCAAAACATATTTAGCAGGTGGTATCTAATTTTCATTTTAATGAAGCTAATCTTTTCAGACTAGGATAACATAAGGTTTTACCATCTGTGTGTATCCTATTTAGTTTATCCAGGTTGGAGAAATCTGAAAGAAGGTCTGTGAAACAAGAAGCTAGATGTTGTTCAACACCAGCCTTAACTACCTGAAAGCATTACTATTTTAAAAATTAAAAAAATAGAGAATACAAATTTTAGTATATTAGCCTATAATTTTATCTAAATTATATCTTTGTATTCAGATTGAATGATCTTTTACAGCATTACTTAGAAAGGCTTTACATGTAAGACATCTTAAAATCTAGCTAAGAATTTTCTGAGGAGACACGGTACAAATGTGTTTCAAGAGCCAGAGAATTAAAAATATGTTGCACTTCTTCACCTTTTTCTCTCTTGCAGATCATCACTAATTATTTCCCTGCACAATCTTTTTTTCCAGCTTTGCTTCCAGCACATATTTGAATTTTCCTATTGACTTCTTTTCCACTGCTTGCAAGAACCTTTTCCTTTATGGTCATATATAAATTTAGTACATATTTAAAAATTTTACGTAAAAGGATCGTGCCATATGTTTGTCTTTTTTATTTTTGGAAATAAAAAATTATCATTGCTTTTCAAAAGTGACTTCTTAAATCTTAGCTGCATAAGTAATAAATACAGCTGTAAACATTCACTATGTACTAAAATTTAAAAAGCATTCAGAATATCATGAGCTCAGTGATAATCAAAAACAAAACTAAAAAAGAAAAATACTTCATTGCTCAAAATAAAATGAGATATATAGAAGAAGATAAGGAAGACAAGAAGGGAGAAGTAGAAAAGAGGTTATAGGTAAAAAATGGAGAGAGGAGGAGGAAGTCATCCCACCTTTGCATAAATGTTGTAGTTGTTGTTGCTTTAAGTATTATTATAAGGTAGCACAAGGGGAATAATGTGATTGGAATTCAAGAGTTAGCATTAGTAAATTGGTCCCAAGTCAGTTCACAATTGGATTGCAAAATATAGTGAATTTCAGGAACTTATTTAGAAGAAATCTAAAATTTATTAGAAATGATGAAGAACTTTGTGCAGTAAGAGCATATATGTGCCAAGTATGTTCCAGTAAAGGGCAATTAAGGGTATATCTGTCAATTAAAGGCATTTATATTTAAATAACAAAGCTAAAAACTGATTATGCAAAAGATAAATTTGTTGAATACACGAAAAGGATAAGGTTTTTAATTTTAAAATATCATTTGCTTTTAAAAATAATTCCTTGATTATTTTTAAAGTTTTGCTCAATTGGATTCAATTGATTTAAAAAATTAACTTTCTTAATGAATGGACTAGGAATAAATAAATAAAACATGACAAAAATTAAAAGCTGCTTGAATTGTGAGTCTATCAGGTGCAAACTTAAAACATCTGTGAGACTATTGTATAAATTTACAGGGAAGCATAATCCCATCGACATTCAGTTCTATAAATGCACAAACACATATTCCTTCAGAATGTCCTCCAAAATATATATTAATATATTATTTACCATGCATACATAATCATTCATATATAGTGTAGGTAGTATGAATCATGGAAATTTGAATTTATGAGTATGCCAAATCATGTAGGAAATGAGACAAGAACTTATTTAGGTAAAAAAAAAAAAAAAAACAAGTTAGAAGAACTGTGACCATAATATTGTCCAATTTTGTGACCTGAATAAAAAGAAAATTAGATTTCTTAAAATCAAATCTAGGGACAATCTTAATATAAGTATTTAATAGTTGTCTTACTTTTATACAGATGCATAGTTTGAGGAAATAAGATACATTGTAGATATGTATACTACCTGTTTTCTTTACATTTTTCCTTTTTTCTTATTTTTATTTGATGAAGTTATTGATTACATTTCAGAGCTTTATATTTATCATTTGTTCCTTTCCTTATATTAATAATCAAACATGTATCTCCTGTAATATTTGAAAGAAAGAGAGAAAGTATATCCTGCCCTACCAAAACTTTGATTCTCCAGCAGTTTATATTTGATCTTTGGCAAGATTTCTTTAGAATGTTGTTATTTCCTTATTCTGCTGCCCATTCCTCTCCATAGATTTATCCAAGTTCTTTTAGGTTGTTTTCTCTATTTGTTCCTAAGATTTATTCAAACAATTTAATACTTTCCTTCAAGATAATTAATAGCTTTTACTTTATAGACTGGCTCTTCTATATTTAGAATTATTATTCAGCAGAAATAAAATTCCAAATGGAAGAAGCTCATATTGAGCATTTTAAATAAATAGTGTAGGTAGGTGATACAATCTATGAATGTTTTGTTTATTTATTTATTTATTATTTTGAGACAGAGTCTTGCTCTATAGCCCAAGCTGGAGTGCAATGGCGTGATCTTGGCTCACTGCAACCTCTCTGCCTTCTGGGTTCATGCGATTCTCCTGCCTCAGCCTCCCAAGTAGCTGGAATTACAGGGACGCACCACCATGCCCAGTTAACTTTTGTATATTTAGTAGACACAGGGTTTCACCATGTTGGCCAGGTTGGTCTTGAACTCCTGATCTCAGGTGATTCACACACCTCAGCCTCCCAAAGTGCTGGGATTACAGGCGTGCGCCATTGCGCCTGGCCTATGAATGTTTTTATACATCCAAATTTCTTTCTTATTCCTGACAAATAATTGATATTTTAAATTCAGGATTATAGGATTTCAGTCCTGTTCTTTCATTAATATTTTTCCCATGCAACTTATTATTGTGGTTGAAAAGTTGACAACAATTCGTTCTCTGTCATTTTTTGGTCTAATTCATCGGTCTTGAAGTGTGCAAGGTTTTTTCTTTGTAAGTCTCAGGCATTTTACTAGGATTTGCTTACCTGTGTTTCTTTTTTTTTAAATCTTTTATCCAGTAACTTAGTGACCCCTACCTAGCTGTAGTTGCCAATATCAGCATTGTTTTCACACTTTAAAAAATTTTTTCTTTCATAATTTCTATTTTTGTGCTTCGTTTTGAGATATTTCCTCCACTTGATCTCCCAGCGCAATCATTAAGATGTCATTAGTGATTCTTCTGTTCTCAGTCTATCTACAAAAGTTAAATTCTTTTAAAAAAAAACATATTTTTATTCACATTCCTTTGAGAACTAAATTTTTAAAATATCTTCTGTTTAGGTGGACTTAAGTGAAATTTCTCTGAATTCCCTTGTTGTTTATTCAGGCTGGCATCTGAGTTCTCTAGCAAGTCTGTTTCATTTAAAATAAATACAAATACTTGTGTTTTTACTTATTATTCCTGTCTTTTGCTGCCATTATTTTGCCTCACCATACACCAGTCTGATTGTTGGAATGCTTTATGTTGCTAAGCCCTGAAATTGGTGGGCTGTCTCTGGCTTTAAAAGAATACCAGGTGGTATGAAATCTTTGTCCGCCAGAAGCCAGGAGTAATCCTGCCTGATACCTGATTTTCTCAGTTACAAAGCTAGGGCATTTCTAGCCTTAGGAATATGGGTGAAACAATGGTCTAGAAGCTCTTCCGGGGCCATAAAAACCACTAGGTCTTTTGGGTGATGGTTTCTTAAGTGAGTATTGCATTTAATTAATCAGAGTCTCCCAGTACTATTCAGGTTACCAGAGCTCCCTTTATTTTCTAAGATTCATTCATGTTCTGTTCTTTGTTGCTTATCTTTACAGCTCTGGTTCTCATTCTTTCATTAGGGCCCAGAGTTACGTGCTATTTTTCTGAATACCAATAGAAACCTTAGGCTTATTTCAGATGCTCTGCCAACCCCTGAAGATTCTTCTCTCAGGAGGGGTGTTGGTTAATTGAATTTGATTAGGAGGGAAGGACAACAGGAATGCATTCGGGAATTCTCAATGATTTGTTTTCAGAAGTATACTTTAATTGACAGTAATTACTGTCAGTTGCAGTAATTGATTGATACAGGAGTAGCCAACTATTGTGTGGCAAGGAATAAAGTGAGTGCTGGCCAGAGCATCTGTGAGGGGGCAGGTTATGCCAGTGGGCTCATTTTACCAGCAATTCAATTCCACATTCGTTGAACACTTAAAGTATGTTCTAGGCACTGTATCAAGCTGGTCCATGAAATGATATTGTGAATAAGGCAAGGATAGTGCTTTCAATGTGCCCACAAAACAGGGTTGGCACAGGAGGAATGAAGGGAATGGAGAGCATGTCAACTAATGGGGGGTTTCAGCTGTGTAGTCTTCTCCAAGAGAAATGCTTACAAGGTAAAGCACAATGCCACAGCACCATCTCATTCTGCCTTCTTCCTCTAATGATCAAGGCCTGTAAGCTCTTTAGTAACCTCTCTGATGCAGGTATCACTTCAAGCATCAGTGAACAAATCATGCCAGCAGCCTCCAGCCTTACCCTGTATGACCTGGTTGCTTAGCACTGCCAACAAGTTCCTACTAGGTCGGAGTGTACTAATTAGTCACAATGGAACTGTTATGGATCTATACTGTCAGTAGTGTTTAAAGTTTCTTCTTCCTGCACTTTTAAAATTATATTCCAACCAAGAAATGATTGTTTACATATATTTGAGATTGTGACGAATATGACAATAAAGACAAAATCATCAGATGACATATGAAACAGTTTGATGATTTTGTTTCTGGATATAGGCATAGAATATTTTCATGAATTAAATTTTTAAACTTACTTTCCTTCTTGAATCATGGTAATGTAATATTTTCTCTCCTTTATATGACTTCTAAGCAGAGTAGCTTAACTAATATATGTATCTGTTTATTAAAAAATTCCTTTGGAAATTGTTGTCAAATTATGAATTAATTAGTATTCCTTTTAAAAAAATAAAAGACTAAAAACCAAATTATGATAGTTACCACAAAGTGAGCAAGTATTTTAATTTTTTTAACATATATTTCTATTGCAGTTTTCAAAAATTTCTTTTCTATTTTATAAGTTCAATTAATGTTAGAAAGAAAAACATCATCTGCTTACATAAAAATTACATGTTAACTAAAAGCTGTATTAAAAAGTGTAATTCATTAAAGGTAATATCAATTATTCTACAATTATTAGGGGCTAAATGCAAATTTTCTTGAGAACTGCAGATGATTTCAACTCTCGGTAATGTTGTTGCCACATAAAATATAAAATGAGTAAAGATTTTAAGAGTTTATTTTGATGTTTCAAGGTAGTTTGATTAAATATAACATAAATACATGCAACTACATGATACATTAGAAAGAAATGTTCTGAGTAAGAAGTCTGGTCTGGAACATCGAGGGTATAGTTTTTATGTAAGTGTTTTTAAAGTAGAATTAAATTTTGATACAAAGATATGTTGTTATCCACCCAGAGTTCTTGGAAATATATTACAGCAGAAATAATAGTATAATTTTGCAAATAAAAGCAATGAACTAATGCCATGTGATTTCTTTTTTTTTTTTTTTTTTTTTTTTTTTTCCTATACGAAGTCTTGCTCTGTCACCCAGGCTAGAGTGCAGTGCGGCAATCTCAGCTCACTGCAACCTCCGCCTCCTGGGTTCAAGCAAATCTCTTGCCCCAGCCTACTGAATAGCTGGGATTATAGGCGCCTGCCACCACGCCCAGCTGATTTTTGTATTTTTAGTAGAGACGGGGTTTCACCATGTTAGCCAGGCTGATCTCAAACTGCTGACCCCATGATCAGCCCACCTTAGCTTCCCAAAGTGCTGGGATTACAGACATGCCATATGATTTTCAAAAGCAAAGATAAAAAATTAAGGTTTCTTATTACAGGTGGTTTTAAAATGAGTTCCTTGAAATGTGGATACCTTGATCACAGTTTTATGTAAACGCTTTCTTTCTAGAAATCCAGAAAGCCTGTACTAATTATGTACATGCTATATAGTATGTAACAACATGACAATAAAAAGATAGTATCTTCCATTCTCATTATAGTTAGCAAACCCTAAATTTTAAAAACAATATTTCTGCTTGAATTTCAGAGATTGTAATATTAAATAAGTTTAGTTTCTCCTTTCTGTTTTCTGATTCTTATGTAAAATTAGTTTACTAAGCTCATTTTAGAATTAAGTTATCAAGATACAGCATATTGGCATTGAAAATTACCCCACCTCAAAGAGAGATACAATGAAATCATCCAATCCAATTTAGTTTACACTATGGTTCTATCCAAATCCCTTGGTGTCATTTCCGTTTTTTATGAGGTTTCCTAAAAAGATGTCCCAATATTATTTGAAGTATGTGATTATTGTGATAATTTGATAATGTATCACTAAATTGTTTCCATGATCCTTATAGCTGTGCTTCTCAATCCAATGCATCATTCAGTTGTTTGATTAAATGCCAATGCTGTCTGAAATGCTGTCTGATACTGAGTCCCAGAACAGCATGATTTCCTTCCCACTGAACATACATAACACTGTATAATTTTACTTTTCTTATAACGCTTATAGTTACAACTTAATGCCAGGAATTATTTTTCCTACTTTATAAAGCTAGAGTAAACCTGAAGGAAAGTTTTTCTACTTAATAAAGTGCCCAGGGATCTCTAACAGATCTATTATAGAATAATCATGAATATTTATTGAGCTTAATGAGGTAGAGGTATATAGTTAATGAAGAACTGGAGGAGCTCAAGAAGAGTAAACCTCTCTCCCCAATCTCAAAATAATAACAGTTAGATTGAAAATATAAGAAATAAAAGTATGAAAATAGCAATAAAAATTTATATATCATTTCAAGACCAAAAATGTGTAGTACATTATTAATTGTCAACTACGTAAAGCAGACCATAATTGATGGATGACTTCATAGAAAAGAAAAATCACATTAGGGTGCTGATGTTGAGAAAGGATTTTTATAGAAATTGGAAAAGTAATTTTGATGAATGAGTAAAATTTCCATACCCAGAAGAGAGGAGAAAAGGGTTTTCTTTGTGTATGGAATAATGTAAGCAAAGTCATAGAGGTGTGATTCTAAGAGAAATCACATGAGATGAGATTCTAAGAGAAAAGACATGAGAATGGGAGAAAAACCCAAATTCCTAGAGGCCTCTGTGTGGTAGGGAATATTACATGTCAGGACTGTGTGCTACCTAAGCAAGTTGGAAAATAGGATTCAGGGTGGTGGTGATAAGGAGACAGCTGTAGAAAAAATGATCAAATCTACAGACTCTTTGCAGGAATATGTTGAGATTGACTCCAGAAGAGAATGGACCAATTGTATTTGGAGTTCCTGTACCTAATAAACAACATAATTTTCTCATGCCGAAGGAAGTTAATAGGAAATCTTTTTCTTTCATATGTTTTGGTGCAGTTGTTGAGATAATTTTTATCACTAATAAGGTTCAGCCTCTTCAACTAGAAAAGCACAACTCTTCCTGATATGCTTAGGGATAGATCATGAATATTTGGCAGGCAGTTTGATAAAACTCTTATAAAAAAACAGATAGGTTCCTAAAATAATCACACTGGCTGGCATCCAAGATTTCATTAAAATCGTACCTTTTCTATCTTGCTTTTAAACTGAAATTTATTTTGTTATCAAAGAGAAAACATTTCATTTTGGGATATCAAAACTTTAGGTGCATCTACATGAGCCAATAATATTCAGAATTTTTTTCCAATATAAATATTTATACTAGAAAATAAAATTGTACTTGTTTTGTACCAGAATACAAGTCAAACTAATAATAATGGGTCCAAATATTGCAAGAAACATTTTATTAATTAAACCGTCGAATCATTTAAAAGAGAAAATGTAACTTAAGATGGTGCGAAGATGGCATCAAGTAGTAGAGTTAATCTACAAAACTTGAGAGCTTTTACACTACATAAACCATAGTGGCTTTTTGAATAGCCTCATAAAACGCAGTGTCATTGCCATTCTGCTCACAACATGTGGATTCTCTCTTCTGCAAATAGAATAGGACTCTTGGAGCAATCATAATGTAAGCCCACTGAATTTTCTCATTTATTTTCTGTACTTATAAAGAATGCTGTCCATAACTTTTTATTTTTAATGGCCTGGATTAAATGGCAACTTTCTACTGCTGACAAAAAGGCAAAATCCTATGAAGAAGTCAGAGTCATATCAAGTGCTCCTAAATTATAATATAGATCTTTTCCCTATTTTTCTTCTTTCTTCCTTCTTCCTTTCTTTTTGCAAGTTAACATATATAAAACACCTGTTCTTATTCTTAAGCATGCACAGCATAGTGATAAAATTTTGCACAGTCAATGGTCATGATGCCCACGGGTTAGTGTTGTAATAGATAAGTGAATTTAATGCCACATGTGCCCTTTGTTAGAGTCTGGAAAACAGTATGTTAGGGGAGTGGAGGAGAGGGAGTTGTGAGGTGACAAGGAAAGCTTACAAGAAAGACATTGCTTTAATCTGTTATTGCAGATGTTAATCAGAGAAGACAGTAGGGATAAAGTGGAAGACCCAGAGGACAGGACTACTTGGCAGGCATTCTAAATTTTTGTTGAATATATCTTTTAGTGCAATGTATATCTTTAATCCTCAGCAGAGCTTTATATTGATATACACTTCTAAATAAGTATTGTTCACAAAAGAAGAGTGTCAATAAGTTATATATTCTACCACCATTTCCTGAAATCTCTTTTTATATTTGAGATCAAGAATTATAGAAGCTGGCATTTATTATATTGAGCAATAAAGATACTTCAATCAACATTAAATGAAAGTAGGTATAGATTAAGAATGGCAGTTCTTCTGCATTTGCATATTGACTAAGCACATGAAAATGTATATATTGAATTCATGGACTATTTTAAAATTAAGGAAACACTTTGGAGCTTTATATAGTGATAATTTGGGCAATTTAGTGTAGTAGTAACTGAATTCTAGAAGTACATGTGGCCAAGATTCAAGGGATACAAAATATAGCATGCAGTAAAAAAAGGAAAATCAACTGTAGGCAACCAGCTTGATGCCAGAATGTGGTGGTGGGATTCTAAATGATTCTGTGATAAATGAGTTGAGCTGCTTTCTAGGAAATTGGAGAGGAGAACAACAATAGCTTTCTGGACAGAACTTTAAGTGACTATGTGACACAATATCTGTATGGTCATTCAAAGTGTCATGGATGCATAAAACAGGTTGTATTAAGTACAATTTTAAGCAAATGTGAAAGAGGGAAGCTGTTTTTAGAAAAGAAATATATAATAACATTTTATTGGCATGAGCAAAATAATCAGAAGAAACATTGATGGCCAGTTGATTATATTGGGAAAAGTTTGTCATGACTATGAAGAGTACTGAATCTTGTTGAATGTCTGAGCACATGACAGCTTGAAAATTGTCTTTTTTTTATTAGATTAAGAGAAAATGATTTTCTGGCATGTATTCTCACTGTATCCCTTACCTATATACGATAATACATTTCTATCCTTTTCTTCTTGCTTTGCTGAAGGCAGTTATTAGGAATTGGAGAATACAGAGCATTCAGGTATTCCCAAATAATATACATTCACCTCCTTTGAGACAATAGGTTGATGTGGTATGTGTCTTCCTATTTCTACTCAGGATATAACAGAAACAAAAAGGTAGCAATTGGCGTCATCAGTTTCTGAAAAAAATCTTTCATTTTTTCTAATATGTCTTTTATTTATCTTCTTCATCTTGTTCTCTATTTCTCTGTCAGCCTCCTGTGCTTCTACTGCTAAATGGATTATTTCCTCTAATACTTTAGCATCCCTGCCTCCTGCTCAGGCTATGTCACTTTCCCTCCCTAATTTCACTGCAAATCTCTTTGAAAAAAAGCAGTCTACTTTCACTATCTCTATTCTTCACTGTCAATTCATGTGTTAATTTATTACAATCTGGCTTCCTTCTATCCCCAGCATTTTGATGATTCTATTCTGTCAGAATATTGTGAGGTTAATGTTTTTGATAGCTTTACATGCAGTATTTCACTTCAGTCCCCTTTGAAGAGTGTCATATATTTCCTGCAGGGATATTTCTTTGAAACTACAGAGCATATCACAGCTCCTTCTAAGATGATACACCACTTGGATGTCCTGAAAAAATCTCAAACTCAAGACATTGAAAATGAAAAATTATATTATTTCCCACTGCCTACTCCACTGCTACTAATGTGCTTTCTCGTGTATAATTGTGTGTGTGTGTGTGTGTGTGTGTTTGTGTGTATGAAGGGCATCACTGTTTACTTGGTCCTCAATATAAAACCTTTGGAATCCTCTCCCTTTCACTATTCCTCATAACCCCTATGTAGTTAATTTCTGAGTCCAGTTTTTTTTAATTGAATAAAAATTTAAAAAATAAAAAATCAGTACAAGAGCTACTTCTGTAAAAACTCTCAATATTGTCCTTATTTTTATCTATCTTAGCAGTGAGTACTTAATATCTTTTTTTCAGTTTTTCCTTCTTCCTTTCCTCTTTTACCTGATGCAATAGCTTTATAACAGTGCTTCTTGCCTCAGTTGCTTCCTGGCAAACAACATATAACACTCTTGGAATGTGAGTCTCAGGTTTCCAACTTCATCTCAAGTCATTCTTCAAGGTATTCTAGTATGTGCTAAATTCACACAGCATTAGTGCCATGTTTGTAGCAAGCCCTTTCATATGGTCCATGCTTTGGGCTGTGTAGCCTCTATTATGTAGAATACCCTTCCCTGGCTTTACTGCATTGTAAATTCCTTCACAGCACAGTACAAAAAATCCACTTCTTTCATAAATTATTTCTGTCTTAGGCAGAAATATTCTATTTTATTTATTTTAGTAGCACTTTTTGCAGCATCATATTTTACTGGAAGGTCCTTATGTTTCTGAAACTCAAAATAGACTATTTTTCCTAGGAACAGTATTTATATCTTATTCTTTTTGTAAACACAGTTTTTGAAAAAGTGTCTGGTACATAGTAGGAATTCAGAAACAGTTGTTGTATAAAGTACTTTCATTATAGCACTTATTGCATTCCATTTATTGATTCAATTAACACATATTCATTGAAAACCTTCTACATACCACTCATACTACAACTGTGAGTGGTATGTAGTTCTAGTGCTTAAGGTATGGCAGTAAATACTTGATAGGACATATTCTATCGGTAAATACTGATAGGACATATTCTAGAAGGGGATAAGGGAAGAAATAAGTACTATGAAGAAATCAACGAATGGTATATTTTGAACACTGACAGATCTAAGTGTTATTTTAGGAAGGGAGGTCATGGAGGCCCTTACTGAGGAAGTGGCATTCAGTTGAGACCTGTACAATATAAAGGAGCAAAGATCTAGGAGAAGACACTGAGAAAGAGCAGGCACAAAAGCCGGAAGGGAGACATAAGTATACCATGTTGTAGGAATGGCAAGAAGACTTGGTGTTTGGAGAAGAGGAAAGAAAAGTTCTAGAAGATGGTGCGAGAGAGTTGGATCTTGTAAGTCTGAGTAAGGAGGTTGGATTTCATTCTAAGCAAGATGGGAGAACTTTGGGAGATCTTGAGCAGGGAATGGCAGACAATACTTTTTTTAAAGGATGCCTGAGAGAGGAAAGAGTTTAAGTGGAGAGAACAGTTAGGAGGCTAATAAAATCCCCAGTTGAAATAACTGTGGTTTGTACCAAGGTAGTTGCTGTAGAGGTGTTGAGCAGTAGTTAGATCCAGGATCCATTTTGAAGATGTATTACATAAAAATAACTCAGGAGGCTTAGACGGGAGGCACACTTGAGCCCAGGAGTTTGAGGTTATAGTGAGCTATGATTGCACCACTGCACTATAGCCTGGGCGACAGAGTGAGACCCTGTCTGTTAAAAAACAAACAAACAAACAAACCAAAAAAGAAAGAAAGAACTGATAGATTGGATTTGGAGTTGAACATAAAAGAGGAGTCAAGAATAATTACTGTGTTTATAACATGAGCAATAATATAAATGACGATATTATTAAAAATGGACAAAACTTCAGAAAAAAACATAACCATTAGTTTACTTGTTTGTATCTCCAATAGAATATGAACTCAGTGAAGGCAGGGCTCTTGGCTTATTCTTCTTTGTATCTTTAATACAGTGCTTAGCAGAAGTAGACACTTAATAAAAAGTGATCATCTCTGGATCTTAATCAGCAAACAACTATTGGCACTATTCTCACTTTTTAAAAAATTATCTTTCCTTCATTCACTCAACTGATGTTATTGAGTACCTACTAAATGCACTGAGGCAAAAAGGATATATTAATGAATAAAACAGACATAAATGCTTGTTCTCATGGAACCTATGGGTTTATAATCCAGTGAGATGATTTCTATGATATAAAACTAAATAAAATATAGAGTGTATTAGATTGTGATAAGTGCTTCAGAAAAGTTAAGTAGAAAAAGGACATTGAGGTAGAGTAGTGGCATTGCAAATTAATAGAGTGGTTGAAAAGGGCATTTCTTTGGTTAATACCTTTATGAAATGAGACTTTGAGATAATTAAGTATTTGAGTAAAGAGCATTGTGGCTCAAGGAAACAGCATGCACAGAAGCTCTGAGATAGCAGCATGCTCGGTATATTGTAGGAACACCAAAAGCCCAGTGTTGCCAGATCATACTTTAAAAAATAGAGCAGAAAAATGTGCATTCCAAGGGATAAGGGAAGGCCAAATTATGAAAAGCCATGTTGGCTACTGTGAGGATTTTGACTTTTACTCTGAGAAAAATGGGAAGACAACTAGAGTTTTTCAGCAGGCTAATGTCATATTCTGACATATACTTTCACAGAATTCCTCTGGATACTGCGTTAATAAGAGACTGTATTGGGTTGGAAGGGTTGAGGGGACAGAAATAAGCAAAACAACAGCTACAATAATCTGAGAGGGTGGATGCCCAGTCCAAGGTGGTAATAGTGAATGATAGTAACTATGGTTTAACTGTGGATATATCTTGAAGTCAGAATCTATAGAACTTTCTGATAGGTTGATTTGGGGCAAGAGAGAAAAAAAGCATATAAGGTTTTGGATCTGAACCAGTACAATGGATTTGTCATTTACTGAGATGGAGAAATCAATGAGGAAGATGAGGAGCTCGTATTTGAATTTGAACCTATTGAATTTGAGATATCCATTAGACATCTGATTATAGACAGCACAGAGGAGTTTTCCACATAACCCTGAAATACACATTGCAGGCTAAGAAGTGTCCAGGCTAGAGGTATGAATTTAGGAGTAATCAAATTTTAGCTATTTTTCAAGTCGAAAGACTGGGTATAGTCATCAAGGGTTTGATAGAAGCAAACTCTAGGGAAGTTCAAAGTTAAGAAATAGTGGGTTGTGAGGAAAGGAGAGGGGAAGATGGAGAGAGGGTGAGTACAAAGTTACAATTAGATACGAAGAATACACTCTAGTGTTCTATTGCACAGTAGGGTGACTATGGTTAACAATAAGTCATAGTATGTTACGAAATACGTAGGAAAGAGTTTGGATATCCAAACTACAAATAAATGATAAATTCATGAGGTAATGGATACCCGGATTACCCTGAATTGATCATTAGAAAGCATATATACGTATTAAAACATCAAGCCATATCCCATAAATATGTACAATTACAATGTGTCAATTAAAAAAAAAAAAACAGTGGCAATAAGAAGGAATCCAGTAAAGAGTGTGCTTTCTAAAACAAAAACCAGGAGCGTGATGTCTTAGAAGTCAAGTAAATAACATACTTAAATATGGATAAAGTGAGTAAATATGTAGAATACTGAGAGTTTGGCTTACCATAAGATTTATTGTCTGTTTTAGTCCTTCCTGTATTGCTATAAACACATACCTGAGGCTGGGTTATTTACAAAGAAAAATGGTTTAATTTGGCTCATTGTTCTGTAGGCTGTACAGGAAGCATAATGCTGACATATCCTTAGCTTCTAGGCAGGCCTTAGGGAGCTTACAATCATGGCAGAAGGTGAAGAGGGAGCCAACACATCACATGGCAAGAGTGGGAGCAAGAGAGAAGTGGAGGAGGTTCTAAGCCCACTTTAACAACTAGATCACACATAAACTACCAGAGTGAGAACACACTTATCACCAAGGGGATGGCACTAATCCGTTCATGAAGAATCTGCCCCCATGATCCAAATACCTCCCACCAGGTCCACCGCCAACACTGGGAATCACATTTTAACATGAGATTTAGAGGAGACAAACATCCAAATCATATTATCATCCAATCTGGTACACTTCTGAAAATGAAAGGGGTCACTATTAGTTACATCTAAACTATAAATACAAACTGGTACTCTTTCAGGAAACCTGGAATATATAGTCACCAAGTGACATTTCAAGTATGATGAAGACTGATAAATAATCGTTGCATTCAGCACTGTAGAGATCTTGATTACCTTAAGAATTAAAATATTGTTAAAATATTAGGATTAAAAGTCTAGTTGAATCAGTTCAAGAGAGGAAGGAAATTGGAGATAGTAGGAACAAGCAAATCAATGAAAGTTTTGCTATAAAAATTAAGTGGAGCTGAAGGAGGTTGTGGGGAAAAGATGTTTGGTTTTAATTGAAATAAAATACACATAATGTAAAATTTTCTAGTTTAATGATTTTAACTATGTGTGGTAGAGTGACATTAATTGTATTTTTGTGCAGCAATCACTACCATCCCTCTCTAGAGACTTTTTATTTTAATGAACTGAAGCTCTGTACCCATTATATATAATACCTCAGTCTCCCATCCCCTCAACTCCTGACATTCACCATTCTACATCCCATGTCCATGAATTTATCCAAGACAATGACCATTCTATTTTTTTTTTTCTTATGTAAGGTACTGTAGGTACTTTACTCACTGTGGATACCTCATACAAGTGGAATCATGTAGTATTTGTCCTTTGCAATTGGCTTATTTCACTTAGCATAGTATCTTCAAGGTTCATTTATGCTGTAGCATGTTTCAGAATACTCTTGCTTCTAAGGCTGAATAATATTTCATTGTATGTGTTATAACATATTTTACTTACCATTTATCTGTCTATAGACATCTGTGTGGCTTTCACCTTTTGGCCGTTATGAATAATGCTGCTCTAAGCATGGTTGTATAAATATTCATTCATGTGAGTTCATTCAAGTCTCTCCTTTTAATTCTTTTGGATATATACGATTATTTTAAGACAAAAGAAATTCTAAAACATAGTAAGCTTTCTCTATGTCTGTCAGCCAGTAAAGAATCTGGAAAAGAGATGAATTATTTGTCACTATGTCCAGCAAATAGCTCCAGATATCATTTAGGAAGGAAAATTACAAACTTAAATGACAATGAGCCTTTATAAATGCTTTAACTAAATTAATATTTTGGGGTCCTAGGTAGGTAGAGGTATACACTATGATTAATAATAAAGCATATTTATTGTCTATTCAAAGTTCTGTTTCATTGCTTGGTGCCTACACCTTAGTTCTGTGTGTTTTCAGAATCTACCTTAATAGATATTTTAGCTTATATCTCAACTGGCAAATCATATCCTGTTAGAAGTAAGAATGGGATAGTTTTATTTGTATAACCACTAAAGATTGACCCTGAGAACGTAATTATATAGTTATTCTTTTTACTCTGCCTCTTTTTTAGTTGGCTGTAATATTTTTGAAAAAGTATCATTTTAATAGATGTGTATTGTGGTTGAGTCTTAAAGTTTTAACTTACTTTGAATTGAGTGAGACATTGAGTGAACACACATTTGTGAATATATCATAAAACATAAGTACAAGATTAACATATAGAATGGCTCCTAGAGAATACTTTAGCAAATAGTGTAAACAGCACATTTGCAAGATTTTTATAGCAATGACAACCTTCCTAAACTGGTGTGTACTGTATTCGTGTATATGGATTTGTATCATTGTTAATTGCTGTGATCTTTGTCAATAAAAGCTGACTCTTTCTTAATTAACCTATTGCCCCTATCTTACCAATAGCATCAGTTAGACATTACAACATTATTATTCAATACAGTGGAACACATTTTGTCACAGGATTCTGGCACCTTGAAATTGATCAGTACAAGCAGGTTTACTAGAGAATGAAAAATTTTGGCCAAGCTTCTGTTTCTATCACACACCATGTTCTGCTTAATTCTGGGAACTCTATGCACATTGACAGGAGAAAGTTTGAGTTCCTGGAGTATTGCACGTTCTTGTTTCAAAGGTTTCAAAGTCTTTGCACACAGGGCCACCTTTACTCAAAAATAATTCCTCCTCTTTGCCTCTATTTCAATGGTGAATTTCACAAAGAAGTATTTTTTTGACTGTATCCTAAGTTAGCTCCCTCTTATACAATATCATAGCACAATGTAGCACTCTTTCCTAGTACTTATTATCATTGTAACTTTACATTTTTTGTATGGTGATTTCACTAACCTCTGCTTCACCTACAAAACTGTCAGCACCATATGGGTAGAGATCCTGCCTGCTTTCACTCAATGCTGCGTCCCTCTTCCTTGCATAGTGCTGGATACTGTAGTCTGTACTCAGAAATATTTATTGAATGAGTTGAAGGGTAAATAAATGAATGAATGATTGATAAAGATCTATAAAGGAAAACTATTTTGAAATATATTTTATGTGAGTTTAATGTACTGTGTAGACCTCTAATTAGAAAGCATAGCATAGAACTTGGTTACCAGTTTCTTCAGGATTTTGAAGACGAATTGAACAATAAAAAGTTAAGAGCTGATATCAAGGACCTAAGCTGTATTTTCATTTCATCACCTTGAATTGAAACTTTGGAACTGTGGGACATGGAAGGACCAACAATGGGCAGGCATTTCTCAGGGGAAGACTATAAATAAAAAACATGAAAAGGGTTTGTTGTTTCTTTACTAAACTGCTTATATGAGCCAACTGATGAGTTCTGTTTTACCCATAACAGCCTTAATTTCACATAGACAGCATTATATTATTGATCCACATATTTTATTGTATTCTGAATCTGTCATGTTCAACCCTTATGTATAACTGTAATTTGATAGTACAGCTTATTTTATAAATCACTTTATAATCACTTTGACAGCACAAGTTACTTTATAATCCCAATAAACTTGAGATATATGAAAGTTTATTGAATTTATTATTGATAGTGTGAATAAGAAATCATTTAGCACTTCTATGACTCAGGTACTGATTTAGGTAATTTACATACATTTTTAGTTTTTAAGATATTTTACATTTCATTTTCAACTAAATGAAAAGAAAGTCTGCTATTTCCATAGGCTGTGAAAATCTAATGTTACTATACTCAGTCAAGTTTAAATAGATATACTGTTACTACCACTGCTAGCTGATGTGTCCTCACTGACTTCACAAGTTTTCACAATGAAGAATGATCATATAAAATCTTAGATCTTTCTATGAAGAATTACACTTCTATAGCAATTGGTATCCATATAGACTATGTGACAAAAAGGACAGAAGTGGCCACTGGTCATTTCCACATAATACACATGTTAAAACTGTACTTTGCTCTATGGCTGCTGCTGCTGCTATTTGTAAAACTCAGCTCTGCTTGAATCCCTGCCTCATAGTCACAAAGCCTGCCAGACTCCTTTGATCACAAAGTTACCCCATGCCTGCAGCCATGCTCTAAGTTGGTCTGTCTGTTTCTCTTCTTTCTAAGCAGTGATATTAGAGGTTGTGGCTCAGTATGTGTATAAAGTATTTCTTCTTCTTACCTTTTTGCAATTGCCCTATATCAGGTCTCCATCCAGCAGCGGATTGGATTAGTGATTCTCCACAATTGCCCTCAACTATGCAGAAATACCAAGCTGAGGGAAGTGCAGTTTCTTCTTGACATAGTCGATACATATAATGTTGTTATATTTTTATATTGACGTGATGACTTAGTATAAATTATACTTCATTTGTAGTTTTTAATTTCATTTCTGATTCCACTATGAGAATGAGGAAAAATTGCTAAGCTATATTAAAATTCTGTTGTTCACCATTTTTTATTTCTGTTCCTACATAGAATTCACCATTGAAATCCAATTAACACAAGTCTTTAATAAACTGTGATCACTGTAGTGCCCGTCACCTTGTTTCTTAAAACTAATCTTCTAATTAAACTATCAACTAAAATAGACAACATAAAAGACAATAAATTATTTCCATTGAATTATAAAAGATTATATTGAATAACTATATGTTTTTCCTCTGGGATCTATTTTTTCACTTGTTAATTTATTACAAAGAGGTTGGATTTCAGCTCAGAAGAATCTCATTTCCTGGCAATTATAATAAGAGAGTATTCCAACCAATCAAGAAGTCCAGTGATTTTATTAATAATGGGTTTATCCTATGTGACTAGTTCAGAGGCCATCAGATAACTTTCGAAAGTTTTATATTTGTTCTGGATAAAATCTACCTTGGGTATTGTAGAAGTATATTCACACAAATGGTACAGCTGCTACAATCTTGTTATTTATGTGATATTTATTGAGTACCTACTAACGGTTGAGCTTTGTTTTAAATAATTGGATACATTCTGTGATTAACAGAGAAAAAAAGAATATTGTTCTTTTGTTTGTCGATGTTACCTACATTTTGTGACTTTCTACGAAGGCAAATTATTCTGACACTAGTTTCTCACTTCATTTGTCAGAATGATTAACATTTTTACATAGAAAGTAGATTTTTTTAAAAAATTGATAGTCAGGCTCATATGGAGAGTCCTGCAGACCCCAAACCACTCAATGTTGCCTTCCTTAAACCATGTTACTTTATGTTTTTGCTAGAAAATTATCGTTCTGTCAGATACATGTAAAAGAAAAGTCACACAAGGCTTGTAGTTGGGATCTTTCTGTTCTTTATAACTCAAATATTTTGTTTGAAAATTATGTGGAGGAATGCTTAACGTATGCTGCAGAGAATCAACTCAACTAGCCCTAAAGGGAAAGACTGGCTAGTACATTTTGCTTTGTTAAACTTTATTTGATGGTAAGATGCAGTTTTGCTATAACTTTTGACCTTTTGGTTTATAATGTCATTCATGTTGTATATATCCTTTATTCTATAACAATTCTTTGAATTCTAGGAGTAACTTTGTAGGCAATCAAATACTTAAAATAACCAACAACTTCTTTACTATAACATCATTAAAATAAACCACATTTAATAGTAGGCAATCAATGATGTTCAGCTTTGACCCAGAGTTGACCCATCTTCTCTAGTAATAGCAACCCTATCGTTTCAAATTACAATCAGTTCACAAAATCATTTTAATGATATCAGATTGGAAGAAAGCCCTGTGTGGTTTGACAGCTGTGCTCTATATTTAAGCTCAGATAAGGCTCACTTTAAAGCAGCATGTCTTTGTAGTCATGTAGCTCCTTAATGCTGTGACACGTCTGTGATTCTGTGCATCAATCATGGCGGCAGAAAACCATAACCTTCCCTAAGAGGAGGTGCCAGGCAAACAGGCAACGAGATGAGTGTTGCCATGTTTCGGTTACTGTGCAGGCTTCCTGCAGTGTAAATTCCCAATGTCCCTTCTTAGCTCCCACTGGCTCTCGACACTCTCATCTTCTTTATACCCTTTCCAGGAATACAGTCTGCTCTTCTTCGTTAGGTTGTGATGGTAGGTAGTAGATTCTTTGCCTAATTACTTTCTTTCTATGGATTTTATTATTTATAAAAATATAATCATAGCTCTGTTTTCATTTTAAGGATGTGACTAATAAGCACCATTAACAAGGTGGTAAGAAATCATACAGAGAGATAAAAAGAGAAACTTATAAACATATCTGGGATAGTTACATATTTTGAAGACTTTTTTCACTTCTTATAGTATTGCTCTTTGCTTGTATAATAATGACCAATTTGCCACGTACTGGATGCCCTCGTAGGCTTACCCAGCTTTTCAATCATAAAGTCAGAATTCAAACCCTACTCATAATAAGATCGTTCAGCAAGACGGCTCCTACTCTTTGTAGCAAATAGTCCCAAAGGTAAATTTAAAGTGAAACAACAGGAAAGAAATTAGTTCCTCCCATTTTTTTAGTCATTTGTTCATTTGCTTTATTTATTCAAACACTCCTTCATTTTTCACTCATGATAGAATATTTCATAATGTTATCTTTCATCATATTTATTGAGAGCTGGTAAACAAAAATGAAAGTGTTCATACCTTTGAGGATATAATGATACTTTGTAAGCAAAAGTCTTGGAAAGCTTCTCATATTTTAGATATTATTCTGTTAATTTGTGTGTGTGAATGTGTATGTTGTTAAAAAATATTAAATATCTTTCAACTATATTGGCCTCATATCTTCTGTTTCCTTTTAACGTATATGAACAAGGTCAGTCATAAATAGTTGAACCAAAAAATGAGTAGTACTTGGGTTTAATTCAGAAGACTGTGCCTTCAGTCAGCTACATGAGGTAGTAGTTTTTACCATAACATTTTCCAGAGTTAAAATAGTCAATTTTTAAAAATTTCTGGAAGTATATGAAAAGTACTTTTAAGGAAATGTTCCAAATATTAATACATCTCACTTGGTTTTCCAGTATTGAGTGCCACTATGTGGAGACCCACATTTTGTGTCCATATCTATAAATCACTTTATCAGCTTTTGAGGTCTATCAAAGATGAACAATATTTTCAGATAGGCAAAAACAAACAAACAAACAAAAAACCAAAAAAACCCACTGTATTGTAATGCAATAACAAGATTTTATAAGTAACTTCTAGAGGTAAAGTGTTTTCTCATCAAATGAAGAAATGAACTTCTAAACTTATATCAAGTAGCTGAACAATAACTACTTTTCCCCACCCATACCCCATTTCTACAATCTTATAATGAGTGTGTCTGTGCCTCCCATCTTCTCTCTCTTTCTCTCTCCCTTTTCTTCTCCTACTCTTCATCCCCCTTTTTTTTTCTTTCTCTGTTATTTTTTTCAGAGCAGATTTAGGCTCTTCAGTGGATTCTTTGCCTGATAATTCTCCAAATTAGGAGTTAAGGTAAAGGTTAGCTCAACAGGCTTATTGCTACTATAAATTAAATCCTGGCCCTGCCAAGATACAAAAGCTCAGAATATACCTGCACCAAGATCCAATTTGCTTTTCACAGATTTAAACCTTACAAGGAAAAGCCTTAAGTTAGTGCATTTGGTTGAGCACTGAAGCTGGTTACTGGTGAAAGTTAAAAGAAGTTTAAAAATGAGAAAGACAAATACTGCATCATTCCACTTATATGAGGTATCCAAAGTAGTAAAATATGTAGAGAGAGACAGTCAAATGGTGGATGCCAGAGGATTGTGGGAGGAGGAAATGGAGGATTATTTAATGGGTATAGAGTTTCAGTTTTGCAAGATAGAAAAGTTCTGGAAATTTTTTTTTCACAACAATGGGAATACACTTGAAACTATTGAACTGTACATTTAAAAGTAGTTAAAGTGTAATTTACCACAGTTAAAAATAAAGTAAAATAAATAAATACATAAAAGGTATTGACCTTTAAGAAATAGTTTATTCCTTTTAAATGCAGTCATTTACTAGAATATTACATGGAATCTCTTCAATTATCTTCCTTTTTCTGAAAATAGACAAGCTGTACCATTCTTTGAAGCAAAGTATTATAAACTATCTTGCCACATAGTTTATCACAAGTGATCAGTTTTGAAATAAATAGCCTATTGGGATAAAACATCACATTTACTTTAATCCATATGAAATGGTTGATACTGGATAATTTTCTGACACAGAGTTTTGACCAATGTAAGAAAAACAGAATTCCAGAACCCCAAATTGAAGACAAACTATGATAGTATGTCATAGCTGGGGTGAGGAATAAGGGAAATAAATATGCATATTGAAATACATGTATCAAATTTAACCTTTATTTAGCTTGGTTTAGTTATAATTTTAATTATTTATTCAAATAATACTCAATGGCAGCATAGGATGGCATGAATTTTTAAAAAATTATCAAGCCCAAACCTGAGAAGCATTTGCCTAAAAGTCACTAAAGAAAAAAGTCATTTAATTCATAATTTTGCTAAGGGAGGAATTCTACCCATAAGTTATTGTGAAGAACAAATGAGATATGCCATTAGTAATTAGATATTTACCTGCTATAATATCTAAAAATTACCCTACCTAGAAGAAATGTAAAGTTTTCTTTATTTCAAAGTTCTCAGAATCTAAGTACTAAAAAGTAATTCACCTAGAAAACGTAATTTTATGTGCAACTACACAGGCACATAAAGGCCATAGTCCTAATACCATGAATTAGAGCTCTTGTACTGAATCCCTCTGGGTCTTCAGAGAACCATAACTAATAGGATATGCATATATATATCTTATATATGAGATTATATATATATATGTATGTATATATAAGAGCGAGAGAGAGATTGCTTTATTATAGGAAATTGGTTTACATATTTATAAAAAAGAATAAGTCCCAAGATCTCCATTTAGCAAGCTGAGACCCAGGAGAACCAATGGTGTAGTGGTTTCAGTCTGAGTCCAAAGGCCTGAGAATAAGGAGAGCTGATGGTTTAAGTTACAGTTTTAACCTGAGTTTGAATACAGGAGAAAACTGATGTCGAGGCTCAAATAGAGTCTAGGCAGAAAAAGTGAATTCTCTCTTACTCAGTCCTTTGGATAAGGTCCACCCATATTGGGGGGCGGAATTTGCTTTTCTCAGTCTACCGATTCAAATGTTAATCTCATCTAGAAACACCCTCACAGACATTCCCAGAATAGTGTTTAACCAAGTATCTAGGCACTCCATGACCCTTTCAGTTTGACACAAAAAAGTAACCTTTACAAGTCCACCCTTTGTCAACTTGGCACCCATATGCAACTCCTTAAGTCATACTTAATCTCCAAATGAAGGAAATAAGAAGTTCATAATTTTTCCTAATATGATACAGCTATCCTGTGTACAGTTGAAAATGTACTAAACCCTTCCCCAGAAGAGGAAGTAGAGTTCTTGATTAATGTTTACTCTTCTTCAGGATAATGTAATATTAATAATACTTAAATATTAGAATATGAAGTCAACATACCTTATGTTACATGATGAGGAAATAAGAGAAGGAAGAAAACAAAGATATTTTCTATACACATGAACATATTGATAAAAAAAAACAAGGAATATGTATGACAATGACAGTCCTCATTTTTGTAACTGTTCACATGGGCATAGCTGGTGTTTATAACTACCTTCTTCCACTGCCAATTTTGTATTCTCTTTGCCTTCAGCAAGCATCTCTGCTGATTGTGTTTCTTTACCAGGTGGAGTGACCTAAGCCCTGCCTGGATGAGGTTGCTCTAGTTTTCCATTGATCTTAATCACAGGGAATGGTATGCTAATAGGCGCCCTAAAGATCTCCTACAGATGCACTCTTTCTTACCTCCATTGGGGAGTGCTATTCCAATTCCCCCTTGGTAGTCAGGATCAATCATGCTAAGCTGGAACAGTGACTCTTTTCCCTGATGGCTAATTCAGATGCGTGAGGAGCTCAAAGTGGCCAGGTGGCAGTCTTAACTTCCAGTTCAATGGCATCATTGTGTCTCAATCAACATAGAAGCATTCCTCCCTTTGTAACTAAGATCTCTAGGCCAGCAGAGGATAAGGTCATAGGGACAGGAAACAGAAACTTAGAAATTTGGATTGTGGATCACTAGAGGAAATAGTGAATGATGCCACTTCCATTTTGCCCTGAGCTGAGAAAAAAAGGAAACATAACAGTTATTGAGTTATGAGCCATTATAACAATTACCGTTCATAAGTAATAACAATTTCACTGTTTTCAGAACATTATATAATATTTTTAGAACAAAAACTACCTCAATAAATAAATTTATTGAGTTTAATATTTAAAATAAGAAATTCCAGTTATCACAAAAGTGATCTCCCTAACCAGTAGTAATCAGCATATCATTTGCAAAGAATTCAGGTGCAAATATAAACATTTAAAAAAATTCCTTAATACTACACTTCTTATTACTATTGAAATTTCACAGTTGTCTTAGAAGTAAATAATTCTTGACACATGATTTATCTATGTTATGCAAGTTTTATTATATAACAAACAAGTATAAAAACTAAAAATCATAAAAATATAAAAGAAAGTCATATTTCAGATTTGCTACATTTTAATAGTATCGACAATTTATTTAAAAGATTTGCTAAAATAAATGAGTTATTAAATGCTCAGGATTCACTATTTACTGAGCATTACTAAACATTTACTAAACATTTAATTCACTGAGCTATTATTGTCCTTATCTCTGTTGCATAGAATTCCTTTATTCACAGAGAATCATTTATTGAATACATTCTATTTGACAAATATTATATAAATTGGCAAGAAATCCAAATTTAGGCAAATTTTTCCTGGAGGAAATGGTGCCTGAGCTTATCTTAAATGATAAACCAGCATGATAAGAGTGACGAATCATGTTGGTTAATAAAATTTCTTGCAGAGGGGGCATTATAAGAAAAGACATGTGAGAATCAGCATGGAATAGTTGTGTGAGTGTATATGGCCGGCAGTACAAATGGCTTAGTCTCCTGGAAAGATAAGAATTGAGAGAGCAGAGGCATATAATAGATGGTGCAGCATTTTGTAAAATATATTTTTGAGTTAATTCATTTAATAATACATGTAGTCATTTATTATTATGTACCCAGCACTCTTCTAAGTGCTTGGGAAATAGTAAACAACAAATCAAGATTCCATCCCTCGTGGAGCCTATATTGTACAACATTAGAAACTAACTAGTGCTTTTGGGGGAAATTGAATAAGATAAAGATAATCCACTGTGGGGCAGATAGAGTAGGGGCTGGTGGCAGTATTAAGGAGGAGCATAGGAGTAGAGATAATAGAGAAGGTGATATATGAGCGAATTCCTGAAGAAGATGAGGGAGATAGCCAGGCAGATATTTGGGAGAAGAGCATTCCAGACACAGGAAAGAGATAGAACACATATTCTAAGGTTAAATTGTGCCTTGCAATGTCAGGCTGAAGGAACAATAAGGAGGCAGGGGTCACTCCATTATAGTAAACAGGGAAAAAAAATAACAGGAAAGCAGTACAAAAGATGAACAGAGAGCAAGACGATGCAGGGCGTTATAAGCCATTGTGACAACTTACACATTTACTCTGAGTCAAACAGAAAATCACTGGAGGGTTTTTCAGCAGAGGAAGCAGGATCTGAGATCTGACTTAGGCTTTAAAACTGTCATTCCAGCTGCTGAGATGTGACTAAATTTCACAAAGTGCAAAGGTGGAAGTAGGAACCCTCCTAATGAAGCTATTGACTTAATCATCTCTAGCTGATAGTTGCTCCAGCAACGCTGCTAGTAGTGGAAGTGGTGAGTAGTCAAGTTATTTATATGACTGTTAGGTAGAGCCTGAAGGATTTTCTCATGGATTGGATGTAGGATCAGAGCAAGAGCAGTAGTCAAAGATAACTTCAAGTTTTGGGGTTGGGAAAATTGAGAGGAAGGAATGCTTCTCAAATGAGATTGGCAAGGCAATGACAGGACAGGTTTGCTGAGAAATGTGAGGAGTTCATTATTGGACATAGAAAGTTGATGATGTTTACTAAAAAATCAAATAGAGACAAAAAACGAGTAATTAGATATTCAGAAATTTGCATGGCCCCTTAAGCAGTGGAAAGCCTCTGCAAGGTTTTAAGTTTGGAGGAATTATAGCCAATTGTATGCTGTAGTTTAGTGCTCTCTGGTGATAAATAAAGGAGATAGTTCTGAAAGAATAAAAGACTGAGCTAAGGGAGAACAGTTAATAGTTTTGTATAGCAAGATAATTTCAACAAATAAACACTGAGTGGTGGCAAAGATGGGTAAGAATAGGATGACTTGAGAAATACTTTACAAGTAAAAATCATCATGGCCATGATTGTGAGTCCAAGAGAGAGGGAAAAGTAAAATAGTTTTCTAAATTGATTGACTTGTTAAATGTAAATGTCATTATCTGAAATCAAGAGTGCAGATAAAAAGCATATTTAGGTGGAAGATATTTTTGACTTGTTTCAATTTCAGCTCATATGGAATATTCAGATGGAGGCAACCAGTAGACAGTTGTAAATATTAGAGTAAAATTCTGGGGACAGGTCCAAGCAGAGCATATAAGTTAAGGCAAAAATTAGATTAATTTTAAAGTTGAAACCATGAGATCAGATGTGAGCATGTTTGAGAGTAAAACATGGAATATTCCCAAGATATCCAAATGAATGCAACCACTTAAAATTTAGGTAAAGGAAGAGAGACATGTGAAAGAAATTATAGACTGGTTATAGCAAGGAAAGTCATGAGTCACTGGTAAAGGAATAAAAATTTCAAAAATAATATGATCCACTATGTTCTTTGCACACAGTCACTCTGTAAGATAAAGACTGTAAAAGTATGCTAGAAATGAGATCTTGGTGATAGTTGTGATAGCAGGTTCAGCAGAGGGACGCAGGTGGAAGTAGAAGGACACAGAAGTGGGCTGTGTACAGAGTCAGGTGACAACAGGGGCTCAGAGAGTGGGAGTGAAAACAGGGCCTACACTTCCAAGAGGTTCTAACAAGAAGGGAAGGGATAAGGTGGAACTGTAGCTTTGGTTGTGGGCAAAGAGAGAATTACATTATCCTCTAAGAGTATCATGTCTCCCTCATTACTGGGAGGAAGGAATATAGGAAACAGGACAATTGGAGCAAAGTCCCATAGAAGGTAAGATGTGCTTAAAGGGGAATTTTACTTTACTGTTAACAGCATAGATGTTGATGAGGAAGAACAATCCTTCAGATAAATGTATAGGGGTTAAGAGGAAGAAAGTCAAGGAAAACTATGTTTTTTGACCACGAACTTTTTGATGGAGCCCTAAGAGTTGTCTTTATTGGTAAACAAGGGTTGAGTACAAACTTGAAATACTTGCAGAAGAAAATAGAAGTAAATCCTAGACTTAGGGAGTCAAAAGGATTAATGGGTATATTAATTTCCTTTTGCTACTGCAAAATTTAACATAAATGTAATGACTTTAACAAACACTGCTTTATTACTTTACAGGTCTATAGGTCAGAAGTCTAACATGGGTATCAGTAGCTGAAATTAAGGTGTCAGCAGGCCTATATATCTTTCTGCTCTAGGATTTCCTTGTCTTTTTTTTTTTTTTTTTTTTTTTGTTTACCATCTAGAGGCTGTCTTTTTTCCTTGGTTATGACTTCTCATATACTCACTGTCACCAATGGTCAGTTGAGCCTTCCTCACACCACAATGCACTGACCATGACTCTTTTGTCTCTCTCTTCCACATTGAAAGGATCCTGGTAATTACATTGGACCTCCCCGAAAAATCCAGGGTACTTTCCCTATCTTAAAGTCAACTTGTTAACAAACTTAATTCCGTCTACTTTCTTAGTTTCCTGTGCCATGTAACCTAACATATTCACAGTGGGCTGTGTACAGAGTCAGGTGACAACAGGGGCTCAGAGAGTGGGAGTGAAAACCTAATATATTCACATTTTCCAGGAATTAGGAGGTAGATACCTTCTGGAAACTGATATCTTTGGGAAACCAATGTCTTGCCTATGACAATGGCTGATGTTGAGGGTCAAGCTGAATTTAGATACAGTGAATGGAAATTATACGAATTTGTACAGGGACATTTACAGAGCACAATAAAGGAATATAAACCCTTGGTTTTAGCATGGATTCAGGGTTCAAACTTGTGGTTTTCATGGAAGAATAGGAATACAGATGAATAATGTGATAATGAGAGAGTATTTTTTATACTCTCTCAGTATAAAAGAAAACCAAAGTGTCCAGACTCATTTGCAAAAGAAAAGGCTGATCAGTTGCAGAGAGTGGCTGTGAGGTGGGAAATGGAGGAATCAAAGAACTGGTGGAACCAATGAGATGGAAAAATAGCTACTATATATTTAAGAAAGTAAAAGAACCAAAAGAGAATATTCAGAGAATAGGACATTTGAATATAAAAATCTTAGAGTCAGATTGGTACTCGGTGAAAAAAAAACAAAAACAAAAAGAGGACATAAGCGTTAGAATAAGTGGTTAAAGAACAGTGGAAATGATGATCATTGAAGTGGAGGCAGTCAAGCATTTGTTAAGTTATGGTGTCAAATGGACCTTACATACCCTAAAATCACCTAGGGTGATGGCTGACCTTGCAGTAGCAAGACCATGAGACTCATCTGTCCTAAATCACTGAGGGAGAACTGTCAGGAAAGTAGTCAAATATGGAGGTACTCACAGTGGAGGTACAGATGGCATGAGAAAAAAGAAGCAGAGATTTATACTTGAATCTAGAAAAGAAACTATCTGGAAGCAGCTTTAGAAAAACAGAAGAAGCCTCCCTCTACCTCCTGACACTGGAGTCTGTAAGAGGAATGAGAATAAAGAACCATTTCCTAGAGATGAGTGCAGAGGAAATTTTGGGTTGAGCCAGGTTTTATTTAAGGCACAAAAATGATGACACGGCACCATAAGCAGGTGAAGATGCAGAGACATTTGTTTAACCATAGAGGAGCACTTAAATGGCACAGTGGAAAGTTTTGCAAGGGAGAGTAGCATTTGGAGCCAGAGAGAGGAATTGTAGAGCAGTATTCTATGCTGGTGAGAACGCAAGAGAAGTTAAAGGGCTCTAAGTTATTGAACTTTTAAATGACAACAAAGGATAGAAGTGATAAGTTTTCACAAAGAACGCTCTCTATATATTTATACTACCACGGATGAAAACAGAGGTTCTATGGTTTGTAGGAAGCTGATCAAGTTAAGAGTAGATGGTATCATTTATAGATACTACAGCAAGCTCAGGAACAAGTCTCAAATAGATGGGTCATCTCTAAAAAGGAAGAAGGGAAAAAGGGAGGCAAGGAAGTAAAGATGGAAGGATGGAAGGAAAGAAGGAAGGAGTCAAGGAATTAAAAAGAGAGAAATAGAAGAAAATTCATTAGATTTTTTCCCAGTGCTATAATGATAGTAAATTTGTCCTAGAATACTATCAACACAGCCCCTGATATTATCCTTTATTTTTCAGGATGGCATTAAAAACCAAAAATTTTGATAGTTGCATTTTTTGTTTGTTTTGTTTTTGAGATGGAGTTTTGCTATTGTTGCCCAGGCAGGAGTGCAATGGAGCGATCTCGGCTCACTGCAACCTCCACCTCCCAGGTTCAAGGGATTCACCTGCCTCAGTCTCCCAAGTAGCTGGGATTATAGGTGCCCACAACATGCCAGGCTAATTTTTTGTATTTTTAGTAGAGCCAGGGTTTCACCATGTTGGCCAGGCTAGTCTTGAACTCCTGCCCATATGTGATCCACTTACCTCAGCTTCCCAAAGTGCTGGGATTACAGGCATGAGCCACTGCACCCAGCCAATGGTTGCATTTTTAAATATTAAAATGTAAGCCTTAAGTTAGGTCAATTCTGCATTAAAATAAACACCTATCTAATTGGCCACATGCACACACACACACACACACAAACACACGCACAGTCTTCCTGAACCATAAGTCATAGGTTTGACTTATGATTTTTCAATGTTATGATGGAGGAAATGTGAAATATATTCAGTACTCTCCTTGACTTACTATGGGGTTATCCCTGCATAAGTTCATTATAAGTTGAAAATATTGTGTTTGATGAATTTATCATCATGTAGCCCCATTATAAGTCAAGGAGCATCTATATAGATATAAAATGTTTTTATCTTTAGAGATCTCTATTTTTAAATTGGCATTGTTTTGGTTTTGCTAGGTGAGTGTTTGTTAACATCAAGGGATGAGGATACGTTTGACTGAGAAAAAAAAAACTCACAATGTTAGTAAGGTCCTGCTTTGAAGAATGGCATGAAATAGTGGCATAACTGTTGTGTACCTCTTTGTCTAGTTACAGTCTATCACTCCTAATGGAATCTCCATGCATTTAGTACAACAAAAGAGAGAAGTAAGATTTTATAACCTCTTACAATTTGAATAAATGATTCTGATTACATTACTACACTAGAAATGTAAACTGAGCAAGAAAATGATTTTAAAATTGATTTCTTCAGTTTTGGAAAGTGAATTTGAAATTATCAAGGCTACTACTTTATACATATCTGCACCCAGTGTATGTTTTAAAATGATAATGGTCTGCCATTTAATCTGTGTTATATATATGTAACTCAAAAGGGTTTGGACATACTCAAAAATATCTTTTAGCTCTATGTGGGAAGAAGTAGCAGGAAAAGGGAGATACAGTATTACAAATTATAATGGGAGATATAGTCATCTGAGATACTAAAATAGCTGAAGCATTAAATGAATATTTCCAAATACATTTACAACAGAGAACATTTATGACTATCTATTCTATATCAGAATCACTATGGCAAAGGTAATAAGACAGAAAAAATTCAAGTGTGAATTTTTCTCACTTAGTGTGTTAGTAGCATAAGACAAACCTCCAAAAATGTATAAGTTAAAGTGCAATTCCTTTAACATTTCATGAGGGATTGAAAATGAGAGTGTAACATTTGTTTATAAAGCCAACCTGCAACCTCAAACTTTACTAAATAATATTATTCAGAAAACATTTTTCCATTTTATGTGAACATAGCATTATTGCTTCCTAACAACATAGTTATTGATCACAATAATTCATTACAGGGTCCAGGTTACAGTGCTCCATTCTTATTACTTTGCTTTTATTTTACTGTAAATAGTGACAGTAATAATGCTAAAGATAAAAACAATGATATTTTTGACACATAATTTGAATCACTGAATTTTACAGCTTGCAAAATATGGAGAAATTGGTTGAATTGGCCTTTTCTGGTAAGTTAGTATGAGAAGTAAAACTTGAGATAGCATCATCAAAATTACTCTTCTTAAAACACAGCTTAGGTGGTTCATGATTTCTTTTAAACAATAAAGAAACTGATCAGTTAACTGGAAAAGATAACAAAATAAGTGTATGTACAAGCAGGCTTGGCCTCACAAATTAACCATTCTTACTTGGGTTATGAATATATATATATATATATTTTGAGTATATATATATATGTATTCAAAGATAATTACTATACATATATAGTAATTATGTAATTTAGTTGTATCATCTTAAGAATCATTGTTTGAAGATTGATCCTTGTATTCTTTGTTTCAGTATTTAAAACTTTCCTTTTCCAAATAAGAACAATAATGTTACAAAATAGAATGTGACATTGTCAATAACTTTCAAAATTATTAGGACATAAAATTAATATCCGTTCATTTAGATGGGATTTATTTTTTGTTCATATAAGCATTTAGAACATATGCTATGTTTAGCAGCATTCTCAGGGTATACTGGGGAAGAAATGTTTGACTGTAATCTTGAGAAAGTAATGAGCTCTTTAAGCAGGCAGAGCATACATACATGCGGGGAAAGCCAGCTGAAGAAGTGTGTGGTAAAATTATCTAACTCAGCTCTCAGACTGTAAATGAAGGAAGGGGTCGAACATACTTTTGGCAGCCTCTGAACATGCTCCACTAAAGTCGTTTCTTTGTTCTAAATCCAAGAACATCCTGTAAAAAAAAAAAAAAAAAAAAAGTCTTGCAGAAAGGAAGGATACTTCATACACGGGAAAAATATGAGCAAAGAAGTAGGAATAAGCAAAATGTGTGTGGGACTGGTAAAAAGTCTTTTCATATACAGCAGAGTAATCTCCTTAGAACATCTAAGTGAATCTTCAATTTAGGCAATGGAAGATAGGAAACTGCAAAAAGATAAAAACTCCACAGTAGATGAATTCTCTTGGGACGTGAGTCAAAAGAATGAATGCCAGAAACCAACGCTGAACTTCGGTCGGGGATGGGAGGGCTATTTAGAGTGCAGGTAAGGAAAACAAACATAATGTGCTTTACAGGACTAATCATAATTCATCATTATCATGTACTTATCATATATAGAAAGGACTGCCCTAGGCATTGAAGTTTTGGCAATAACCAGATTGCCCTTGTTTTTGAAGCGCTTACAATGTAGTGAGAGAGAGAGAGAGAGAATGACAAACGTGTATACAAATCGTTCAGCCACGTAATAGGTATTATACAATCACAGAGTCTTCCTAAAGGCTGTTTAAGGGAACAAATACACAGATCAAAATGCTTTTTTCTTCTGGGACAATGAGAGAAGACCTCATTGAATAGCTGAATTTGAATTCAGTCTGAAAGGATGAATACTGATTTCAAGAGCAGAAACAGAGGAGATAGGGATTCCAGGCCTAGGAATTATCAGGTACAAAGACATGTGAAAACATACTGCAAGTTCAAGATTACCAAACAGCTAAATGGAACTGCAGCCCAGTAAGCTTACTGGGGAATGGTAGAACATGAAGTTGGCCCACTAAGCAGGGATTGGGTTGTGAAAGGCCTGGCTTGGATTTTACCCTGAGAAGATAATGAGGTGTTAAAGGATTTAAGCGTTTTAAACTGTCAAATTATGTTATCAGATTCTGCACTTAGGACCATCTCTTCAATAGTTGTGTCAGGGATGAATTGCAAGTAAAAGCTAGAGTTATAGAATCTGATATGATGGCCATTGACATGAAATGCTGAGTATATTTTTCTTAAATTGCTGGCAGTAGAGAAGCGGAGAATAGTAAAAAGCTTTAGAGATAGACAAATCCCGGCTACAATTACATATGGGTGAGAAGAGGAAGAATTGTAGACAACATGATATACTTTGAGTTGGCAACTGTATGGAGTATATGTATAGAGTGTGAAGAAAGAGTAAGTAAGAAAGAGAAGGATAAGAAGGGTTTTTTTTTTTTGAATAAATAAGAAGATCAAGCATTTATCCTAACTTTACTCTAGGTACTGATTTTATGCAGGGAAAGTTCCTTGTTTAGAGATGATATCCAGCAAATGCAGAAGGATGATAGAATTAGAAAATCACCATTTTCAAACTATCATAAAATAATAGATCTAGGTGATAGTCATTGATGAATACGGTAATCACATGGATATTGACAGAGAATTTCAAAAGGCAGGTATCAGGCTGATATTATCTGAATGTGTAAATAAGTCTCAGCATTACTAAAAGTAATGCCTTGTTGTGTGATGCAATAGGAAAAGGACAGTGCCTCATACGAACTATTCTTCTATTAAAAATCACCCTAACGTTTTCAAGACTTTGGATCTAATTACCAACTTATGGAAAATAGTGAGAATAGTGGAAAAAGTCAACCACTACCACAAAAAAGTGAGTGACTAGTACAGAAAAAAAAAAAAAAAAAGAGAGACTTCCGAGACACGAGAATCAAATAAATTTTGTAGAATTTGTCTGGGTCCTTATTTGTCCAAGTTAACTTTAAAAAGAGGTCCTTAAATGGCTGGGCATGGTGGCTTATTCCTGTAATCCCAGTACATTGGGAGGCCAAGGCGGGCAGATCACGAAGTCAGGAGCTTGAGATCAGACTGACCAACATAGTGAAACCCCCTCTACTAAAAAAAAAAAAAAAAAAAAAATTAGCTGGGCGTGGTGGCGTGTGCCTATAATCCCAACTACTCAGGAGGCTGAGGCAGAAGAATCACTTGAACCTGGGAGGTGGAGGTTTCAGTGAGCTGAGATCATGCCACTGCACTCCAAGCTGAGTGACAGAGTGAGACTCCATCTTGGCGGGGGGGGAGAAAGAGGTCTTTAAAACAATTCCCAAATTTGAATATAAATTTGGCCTTAGATATTTTTAAGATTTATTGTTAATTTTATTGTGAATGTTACCTAAAAAGTCCTTATTATTTACAGGCATATACTGATGTATTTACAAGTGAAAAATCACAATGCCTTGGATTTTATTTAAAATCAAACAAAAATAAAATAAAAAAACTTTGTGGGGGGATAGATAAACTGAGATTGGAAATATTTGCTAATCACTGGAGCTTAGTTTTCGGCATAGATAGATGTTGGATCAATGAGTGTTTCTTGTAGTAGTCTCTCTTTTAATGTTTGAAAATATGCATAATTAGGAGGAGAAAATAGTTTAATTTTAAGCAGATTCATTTTAGATGACCACGAGATATTCAGGTATAGTTTTTCAGTAGAACATAATGTAAAAACACAGTCTAGATTAATTACAAATGAAGTATGACTAGAAATGTATAAAAAGAGTAGAAGATGAGAATGAAACCAACAAACAAAACATGGAGACAACAACATTTAGTGGGAAGGCAGAGGAAATAAAGTTATTGGAAGGTACCAAAAAGGATCAGAGAGATGGGAAGAAAGCTAAGATGATGTTACAAAAAAATGGAGAGTCACTAAAATGACCCATGTGTACACAGAATAAGTGTTGAAATACTAACTACATTTTGAATAGGTCATCACTGGTGATCATATTTAAAGAAATTTTAGAGGAATGATCATGGAGAGAACAGAGGAGATGGAAAACTAGATAGAAATGAATTTATGAGAGGACTAGAAAATGAGACATTTAAGAGGGTTTTTCCTGTTATTAAAAACCATAGCTATGACAGATTTTCCTTTTTGATAATTCTCAGTTTTTTTTCTTCATTTTTAAACTTATCTTTCAGTAGAGAAATAAAATAGATGTCAGAAATGTAATGGGAGATTAATGAGAGCATGGTCAAATTTACCAAAAAACTAATTCAACTTATGTTTAGAGCAGCTCATTAACGCAGGCCCTACTAGCAAATATCTTTCCAAGATATGCCAATGTGTGTGTAGGAACACAGGATTTTATAAAAGTATAAAAGATAAGATGTTATCTCTTTCTACTTAACTTCCAACACATTTTCCCTCAAATAGAGTTGTGGTTGAGTGGCCACTAGCATTTTTGGAATCCCACTAAAACAACTTTGAATTGGGAATGAATTCAGTTTCTGTTGAGTGGGATATGTTCATGTAGTTCAGTTAGAGTTTAAATTATTCTGACTAGTCAGGTGTATGAATGGTTTACAGGAATACTCCTACCTACTGTGAAAACTCATTGTGACAGGGAAGTGCAGGATCACAGTTTGTGTTGTAATATACAATTGTCCAATGATACCTGGCCCTACATGTATGCAAGAAGTTGAGGAAAAAGCAAAGTTTGAAATATACTGAGCTGTAAAAATTAAAAGAAAAGGATTTGGTTATCATCAATACCTAGGCTAAACAGAATTTCTCCTTGTCGGGGATTTACTAAGCAACACAACAACACAACATATATAATCATAAATGTACCGGATATGTTCCCCTTTTTTGATGATAATCATGTGAAAGTGTAATTAATCAGAGTCCCTTTTACAGCACAAGTCTTCAGTATTCAATTATGTTTATAATTGCCCGTGTGTAGAATAATTTTAAAAGAAGTTTTTCCAAATTTGACAATAGATGGCCTCTAACCAATAACGTTGTCATACGAAGAAATGAGTTTAGAGTATGTGGTCAAAAAAGGAATGGAAAAGGTATTTATCAAGCTAAGTCATGTAAATGTAATATGTTTATTTTCTACATTTCATGATGTCTAGGGTATTTTGCCATTTTTTAAATTTGTACTTCTAGACTTACAGTGTGGCTCACGCCTGTAATCTCAACATTTTGGGAGGCCGAGGCAGGAAGATTGCTTGAGCCCAGGAGTTCAAGACCAGTCCTGGCAACATAGCAAGGCCCTATTTATACAAAACAGAAAATAAAATAAAATTAGGTAGGTGTGGTGGCGTGCACCTGTAGTCCAGCTACTCAGCTACTTGGGAGGCTTGCTTGAGCTCAAAAATTCAAGGCTGCAGTGAACTGTGAATGTACCACTGCACTCCAGCCTGGGTGACAGAGTGAGATCCTCTGTCCAAAAAACAAACAAAAATAATTTTTATTCTCCCTTTCTGTTCAGTCTAAATAAATATTCATTGTCATGCCTGGCCCTAGAAGTATGCAACTAACTGCACAACTTTGGTGTGTTTTTTTGTTTTTTTTGTTTTTTTTTTGAGAAACTTTCACAAAACTTGGATTTAAATCTGTATGGGAGCCCAAAAAGGTACAAGAAAGTAG
The DNA here is from genome assembly GCF_000001405.40 of Homo sapiens. Taxonomy (NCBI): domain Eukaryota; kingdom Metazoa; phylum Chordata; class Mammalia; order Primates; family Hominidae; genus Homo; species Homo sapiens. The sequence goes on from NC_000004.12 coordinate 92,533,276, forward strand.
AGGAAAAATATTCAACATTTACACACACACATACACACAGAAAACTATAAAAGCTTTCATCTTTCTTAGCTTTTGTCCAAGAAAAAAAAGCAGTTGGCTTTTAACAATACAGAAATCATTTTTCCTTAAAAGAGATATTGTGAAAAATCTTAATGCTCAAAGTACTAGGACACATACATACATACATACATACATACATACATACATACACACACAGGGTACCTTACACATTAAAAATAAAATGTGTTTCATTCACATCTGAAGATTTCTTTTCCTACTCTACCCTGTTAGTCACTCCTACCCCTATGAGAGAAACACAATAACTGTTCATCCCCTTTCTTTATTTTTTTGTTGTCAAGTCTGAGGACAGAAGGCACATAACACATATGAAGATGGAATATTTTTTAAAAACAAGGAGACAAAATATTAAACAATATGGTAGTGTTGCCTTTTAGGGAAATCCGAATAAACTATTTACTATTTCTTGGAAATAAATCTAAAAAGTCAAATACTTAACTGAAGTACTTTGTCCTTGACAAACTATAGTAACACCACAATCAGCAGACTTAATAATTTATCAGTACAACAGAACATTTAGATGTTCTGTTAGCTGTAGATTCTATAGATTTAATCTATAATTCTATAGATTAAAAAGGAATATTAAAAAGGAAATTTAAATTTTAGAAGTATATTTGTATTCTAAATTGATATATATTTAGAAGAAAATAAATCCATATATTTAATTATTCATATGGAAATATCATTGTTAGTGTTGTGTGGATGTATCCTTTCAAGTAAAATAGCTTATTTAAATCTTTTTGAAGTAACTCTTCATAAATTCACAGTCTAACAATTTCTTATTTTTCGGGAGCAAAGGTATATATTAATGTTTAATCAAGGATCCAGCGTTTGATCTAAGGTCATCTTTTGAACTAGAAGTAAAGCTTTTATTTCAAAGAAAGTCTATCCTCTTACCTTTTACATTTACATATTTAACAGGAATGTAGACATACTTGCAAAAGTGACTGGATGATATTTTGCTGTTGTAGCACACTTCAAAGATTAGAATTATCCATTCATTTCATGAGTGTAGACCAGCCCAATTTGACCCATAGTCTTTCTGTGAAAATATAATTATCTTCTGAAGATAAAAACAGGGTAAATTATAGGTGGTTGTAGAGTTGGGGAAAATCAAAGAGGGGGACAATTTGTGGTAGTCCTGAGTTTAAATACTGAACAAGTCATCTACTTCTTATGTGACCACAGGTGAGATAATTCCTTCAATTATAAAGTATGATAGCAATTTAAGTGTTACTATGTTCTCTAATAACATGAGCTAACCCTCTTTTTCTTACTGTCAGAATGACACTATAACAAATATTGCATTTTTCCCTATGAATCCAAAAGCTTCTGTCACAGTCGTGATTAGGAATGCTGTGGATGGAAGCCTTACATCACTGGTGAATGCCAAAACAAAGCAGTATTTATCACTGGCTTTGATTTCAACATTATTTTAATATTTTCCCACCTTTATTAAAGACGTTAATATTATGAGTGAGTATATTTCAATGAAAGTAGCCTACTTGAGCTTGGAAAGACTAAACTAATTAACAGGAAAGTAATGAAATAGCAGGTTTATATCTTGAGCCCCCAGTGATGAAAACCTTTAGCAAAATACAGGTTACATGTTTAGGATTTGGTTAATTATTTTAGGAGCAAATATAGAGAAAAAATATTCTCATATTTTAAAGACCAATATTCTCATTTAGGCCTGAATATAACAGTGAATTCTCTACCTTATATGGGCTAACTATCCAGTTTTGACAGCAGAGAAAATTATAATACCCTATAGACCTAAGTTTCATCAACCCTGTTCTCTGAAATATATCTGTAATTATTCTGGTACACTCAGATGTTTATATTTTAAGAATCTATATCTACAATGTAGTTAAAGAGGTGTTTTATAATTAAGTAATTAAATATAAGCGTAACTTTTAAGTGTTGTTAGAATTCAAAGTAAAGCACTCATTCCAAAATATTTCAACTTTCTTATAAACATTTCTCTTTGTACTACAATATTCTCTTTCCCCCAAGTGCTATGATTAATGCAATCCTTAAAAACAATGGAAACAACTATCTTTATTACTGATTTTATAATTTTGGAAATTCCAGGGACTAGATTCCCTACTGTTAAATTTGGAATATATAAACTTCCTGGGATTGCAGTTATGACCTAATGTACTAAGGTAGCACTCAAAACAGCTATTAATTTACATGGAACAAAGTCATAAAAGGCCAGAGGAACAGCAATTATTGTCACATGCAATTACCAAGAGACAAGCTAAAAAAGAACACTCGTCTGCAAGTGTATCAATTAAACTCCATTATTATTAAAACAAGTGGTAAGTGAACCTGCCCTAGAAATCTATTGTGTCTGGAACTGGTTCCTTCAGTGGGTTCTTGGTCTCGCTAACTTCAAGAATGAAGCCACGGACCGTCGTGGTGAGTGTTACAGTTCTTAAAGATGGTGTGCCAGGAGTTTCTTCCTTTTGGCGGGTTCGTCGTCTTGCTCACTTCAGCAGTGAAGCTGCAGACCTCTGTGGTGAGCGTTACAGCTCATAAAGGCGGCCGCATCTGGACTTGTTCTCCTCCTGGTGGGTTCATGGTCTCACTGGCTTCAGGAGAGATGGTGCAGACCTTCGTGGTGAGTGTTATAGCTCATTGTTACAGCTCATAAAGGCGTTGCAGACCCAAAGAGTGAGCAGCATTAGGATACATTGCAAAGAGCAAAAGAACAAAGCCTCCACAGCAAGGAAAGGAACGTGAGCAGGCTGCCACTGCTTGCGCCGGTGGCCTGCTTTTATTCCCTTATTTGGCCCCACCCACATCCTGCTGATTGGTCCATTTTACAGAGTGCTGATTGGTCTGTTTTGACAGAGTGCTGATTGGTGCATTTACAATCCTTTAACTAGACAGAAAAGTTCTCCAAGTCCCCACCCGATTAGCTAGACACAGAGTGCTGATTGGTGTGTTTACAAACCTTTAGCTGGACACAGAGTGCTGATTGGTGCATTTACAGTCCTTTAGCTAGACAGAAACGTTCTCCAAGTCCCCACCCAACCCAGAAACCCAGCCGGCTTCACCTCTCACTACGTTGCATAGTACTAGACAGACCTACCCTGTAGAATTTAAATTAATATCCTATAAATACTGATAACTCTCCCATATTTTTTATTCACAACTTACATAAGTGCTTAAAGAATGAAGATGAAATAAAAATGATTTACACAAAACTTTAATAAGATTGTTATTTTAATTTTTTGCTTACTTTTCTGTTATTTCTTCAAACCTGAATACATATGTGAATATGGAAATATCTTCAAAATCTTGCTATTTTAGTTCTTTCCTTTAAAAAATAATTTTCTTCCCAGATTTTTTCTCTTATATGCCTCTTGCTCACCAGTTTTTCTTCCTTAAATGCAAATCGTCTGAGAGAAATGGATGGCAATAAATGCCCCCAAGAATGACTAAGTGTAATAAGCAGCTGTTAAGATGCGGTTTTCAAAATTAGACCTGAAAAAAATGTTTCTTTTCTGTTTGTTTCCATATGAATACCCTAGATGAGTAGTTACTATGTATTTATTAGCCAGTGCCTTATATAACATAACACGTTCAGGAGACAGTTAGCAAAAGAACAGTAGAATTGTAAATACTCAGAGAAAAGGAGACATGCACAGTCTTCCTTCTATAAATAGGCTTACTTCAGCTTCATATCCAATAGGCTTAACCAAGCATGAATTTACACTCCTCCTCTTTATACCCTTCAATACACAATTTCACTAAATAATGATAATGTTCTATTTTTAAATATTTTACAACTTTTTTCTTGACAAATTTACCATTGTGCACTCATTGTATGTTGGAGATGAGGGATTCACTTTGGTTATGAACGTGAAATCTTATTCTAAGTTGTTGTATATAATTTAAGTAATTTATATACATACTATTATTAATTAGCTAATATTTTCCCCTAAATTAATAAGCGTTTAGTTCATAAAGAGAATAACACATTTTTGATCTACATCAGGAATAGTGAAAGACCTAGATTGATATATTATTAGGTTGCAGTGAGCTGCATTGAATGTGTCCCTTTAGCTACAGTGGTAAAATAGATTTATAATTACCAATCTTCAATTATGATTGAATTTAAAGCAGTTGTTTTAATTGGCACTTTTTTGTAATGACTGAAAGGAGAAAGTATTTGGATTTCAAAGTTTTCATGCAAATATATTTTCTTATATTTCTTCCTGCTACAATCTACCCAGAACAAATATGCTATATTATATGAGTAATTATGTTTTAATAGGCTTGTTCTGCAAGCAATTCTAAATAGTACTTGTCTTGTGAGCAGTGATCATGGTTTGTGTTTGCAAACAGTCTATTGCCCTTTTCAAAGACATTCCTGGAATACAAACAGCTGGCAAGTGATCTGCTTTCCAAAAACTTGCGGTGTGTGTGTGTGTGTGTGTGTGTGTGTGTGTGTGTGTGTGTGTGTCTAATTTGAGCAAGACCACCCAGAGAATTAGTAGTAATAAATAAATATACAATGAGATTTCATATCCTATTTTGACAATGTATTAAGTAGATTGAAAACCCTCTCTCCATCTCTATAAGAAAATGTTATCTTCTGTCCAATCTTCATGTTGCCATTTCCCTATTTCTTCTGGTTCTTTTCTCAGAAGTAGTCATTATGATTCTTGTATGTAACCATAATTAAATCATTTTACTTTTCTGTATTTATTAGTTACTTACTATAGATCTGTTAGTGATTATATATAATAACTATCTGTGAGATCTTATTAAGGGCTAATTTTAAGGGCTAACATTTTGCATGTTCTCTCACTAGTGTTCAAAACAGTTCATGAGAAACAGATTGTAATCTGAACCCAAGCCTGTAGGACTTTATATTCAATAACCCTAACAATTGTTCTCATTCTTCTAAACTCTTTTCAAGATTAAAATAGTTATCAGTTTTAGACTTCTCAAATTTCATCATTGCCTGATAAATGTAGATTCTAAATTGAGTGTACAGGGATGCTTCTTTTTCATCTATATGATCCTGTAACTCAACAATGTGTATAAATGACTAATGTGCTCAGTGTTTTTATTAGTTGCTTGTAAGAAAACAAAACAAAGGAAATGCATTTGCCTATTGAGTCTCATGAGAAAGTATGACTTGGAGCTCCACAAAGCAATTACAAAAGGGATAAGTTGTATCCAGCAAACTTGTCTAACAAAGTTGTTTTGAAGTTTAAATAATATAGGTCCAGCCCTTGGCATAGTAAATACTCCATAAACAGCTGTTACTCTACATGCTCTGTGAGGAAATAGACATCACACTTGTCTATTACTGCATTCCTAGTCTTAGGATGGATCCCAGCACAAGGAAGAGTCACAAAATAATGTATTAAATGGATACATTAATGAATGTAAGGTATTGTAATAATGGCAAGTCAGAGTATGGTGAGTGTCATTATTAAAAATGCCTAATAGTCAGGAGATCAAGACCATCCTGGCTAACACCATGAAACCCCGTCTCTACTAAAAATACAAAAAATTATCCAGGCATGGTGGTGGGCACCTGTAGTCCCAGCTACTTGGGAGGCTGAGGAAGGAGAATGGCGTGAGCCTGGGAGGCGCAGCTTGCAGTGAGCCGAGATCACTCCACTGCACTCCAGCCTGGGCGACAGAGCAAGACTCCATCTCAAAAAAAAAAAAAAAAAGTGTCTAATAGGAGATGAATTTTGAGCAAAACTTTAAGGAATGTGATTGACATCAATTGAGAAATGTGTTCCAAAGCAGGGGACTATATTTTATTAATACTCAGGATGAGAATGGGCTTATTTCTTGAGATAGATAACATAACACAATATACGATTTGCAGTTCAATATAGTGTGTACTCTATTTGTTTCTAGACTTGAAACTAATGAGTGTTTAACTATCTTAAATTTACACAGAGAAACATGTTGTGTCTGTAAATTTATTACTATAAAATGGTGGCCTTTTCCTGTGCATTAATGGTGACAAAAAATTAGCAAATGAGTAAAACATAGCATTTATTTGTATTAAAATATTTTTTCAAGGTAGAAATATAATTTTTCTTATAATATTAATCTACTGTTCCATAGGTAATTCATTTCAAATATTAATTTAAATTTTTATTACTTTTGGCTGTTTTTTTGGTAATTATAATCCTAGACAATCCATTATTTTCATTTCTCTATTGGATTATTTACATTACAGATAGAAAAGTAAACTTCCAAATGGTTATATTTAAAGATATTTCTCAATTACTAACAATTAAATGATTGTCATTGCTACCAAATTAGTAATTGCTGGGATATATGATATATGCATTAGAAAAGCAGTTCTTATATGCCTATACATTCTTAAAATTAGCTGTCCATGAACTGGATCTCATGTTCTAATATGTTTCTTTACGTAAAAAGTGAAAAAATGAAGGAAGAAAGAATTGTAAAAATAATTATCACTGAAATGTCCTGGACTGTTTGTGAGAAATCAAAATCTTGAAGTCGGGTAGCTACCTGACTTCAAACTATACTACAAGGCTACAATAACCAAAACAGCATGGTACTGGTACCAAAACAGAGGTATAGACCAATGGAACAGAACAGAACCCTCAGAAATAATGCTACGTATCTACAACCATCTAATCTTTGACAAATCTGACAAAAACAAGAAATGGGGAAAGGATTCCCTATTTAATAAATAGTGCTGGGAAAACTGGCTAGCCATATGTAGAAAGCTGAAACTGGATCCCTTCTTTACACCTTATACAAAAATTAATTCAAGATGGATTAAAGACTTCAATGTTAGACCTAAAACCATAAAAACCCTAGAAGAAAACCTAGGCAATACCATTCAGGACATAGGCATAGGCAAGGGCTTCATGTCTAAAACACCAAAAGCAACGGCAACAAAAGCCAAAATTGACAAATGGGATCTAATTAAACTCAAGAGCTTCTGCACAGCAAAAGAAACTACCATCAGAGTGAACAGGCAACCTACAGATTGGGAGAAAATTTTTGCAATCTACTCATCTGATATAGGGCTAATATCCAGAATCTACATAGAACTCAAACAAATTTACAAGAAAAAAACAACCCCATCAAAAAGTGGGCAAAGGATATGAACAGACACTTCTCAAAAGAAGACATTTATGCAGCCAAAAGACACATGAAGAAATGCTCATCATCACTGGCCATCAGAGAAATGCAAATCAAAACCACAATGAGATATCATCTTACACCAGTTAGAATGGCAATCATTAAAAAGTCAGGAAACAACAGGTGCTGGAGAGGATGTGGAGAAATAGGAACACTTCTACACTGTTGGTGGGACTATAAACTAGTTCAACCATTGTGGAAGTCAGTGTGGCAATTCCTCAGGGATCTAGAAGTAGAAATACCATTTGACCCAGCCATCCCATTACTGGGTATATACCCAAAGGATTATAAATCATGCTGCTATAAAGACACATGCACACATATGTTTATTGCGGCACTATTCACAATAGCAAAGACTTGTGACCAACCCAAATGTCCAACAATGATAGACTGGATTAAGAAAATGTGGCATATATACACCATGGAATACTATGCAGCCATAAAAACGGATGAGTTCATGTCCTTTGTAGGAACATGGATGAAGCTGGAAACCATCATTCTCAGCAAACTATTGCAAGGACAAAAAACCAAACACCACATGTTCTCACTCATAGGTGGGAATTGAACAATGAGAACACATGGACACAGGAAGGAGAACATCACACACTGGGGCCTGTTGTAGGGTGGGGAGAGGGGGGAGGGATAGCATTAGTAGATATATCTAATGTTAAATGACGAGTTACTGGGTGCAGCACACCAACATGGCACATGTATACAATGTAACAAACCTGCACATTGTGCACATGTACCCTTAAACTTAAAGTATAATAAAAAATAAATAAAATAAGAGTCAGGAAAAAAAAAAGAAATCAAAATCTTGACATTCAAGAAACAATTTTTTGGTCAAAGAAATCAAAAAATGTTTTAGTTATATGATAAAATCAAATGAAAACTTTAATCTTTATATTTGAAAGCTTCATGGAATGTGAAAAAACCATATTAATCTTATCTCAATTTTCCAATAATAATAATAATAATATCTAATCCATCTAATTTTTTTCACAGGCAAATTTATAGCAATCTATGTTCATATTAAAGCCAGTACTATTTATCAAAATGAGGATTAATACATGGGGATACATGATTTGGTATGCCTAAATATTTTCATTTAAAACATGTATAATTAATATGAGTGGTCAAAAATAAAAGAAAATATTGTTTTTAATGAAGAGTGAAGAGAAATTAACACATTGATTAAATGATGATAGTGTTTGCATCCATGTAGAGGGTGAGAGTGGGCAATGATCCAGACAGATATTTCTGGAAAAAAAAAATCTTAATTTACTGTTAGAGAATCCTGGTTGTTCACCTTTCACCTGGAATAACTACCACCACCACAACAAAATATTGTGATTTTTTTTAAATAGGTGAAACATAGAAAAAAGAAGAGGAAGATTTCTAAAATATATTTTTCCTCAAAATTATGATTTTTAGAATATGATTGTGCTGAGTGAAGTGTGTTTGTGTTCTTTTTTATTTTAACTCTTAATCCTTTTTTTGCAATAAGGTTCAAGAAAGGCCATATCACAATGTAATAACTGTGGTTCTTAGGTCAAGAATATTTGAAAATGTAGTTCCCAAATGCATATCCTCATTAACTTTTTAGAAAAGCTGATATGGTATAATAATTATGGAGTGACCAAAAGTATAGCAGTTCTGAGTATACTATTTATTCTCTACTTGGGAGATGAAGATGGGAGGATCACTTGAGCCCAGGAGTTAGAGGCTGGAGTGAGCCTTGAGCACACCACTACACTCCAGCCTAGGTGGAGGAAAAAGAAAAAAAAAGATTATGAATCCATTGTACCTAAACTTTTCTTGAATGTGATCAAAAAGAACAGTTTTACCTGCTTTCTTCACAGAGGTGTTGAAAAGATGGTTAAAGTTAAGGATACAGTGAAAATGTTCCTCAGCCATAAAAAGAAAAAATGTCATTTATGAAATAATGGCATTTGCAGCAACGTGGATGGAGTTGAAGATCATTATTCTAAGTGAAATAACTCAGGAATGAAAAAACAAACATCGTATGTTCTCACTTATAAGTGAGAGCTAAGCTATGAAGATGCAGAGCATAAGAATGATATAATGGACTCTGGGGACTCGGTGGGAGGGTGGAAGGGAGGTGAGGGATAAAAGGCTACACATTGGGTACAGGGTACACTGCCCAGGTGATGGGTGAACCAAATCTCAGAAATCACCACTAAAGAACTTTTCCATGCAACTAAACATAACCTATTCCCCAAAAACTATTGAAATAAAAATTTAAAAAGAAAATGCTAAGATGGCATAAATATTAAATTATTAGTAAGTAAACAATCAGAAGGTAATAATTGATTATAGTACGTGTGGGTTCTAGTAGACCCTGTTCTTCTAAATAATAATTCTTGCATATCTAATGAGTTTTTATTCATTTTGCATTTTTCTGTTTCAGCATTATAGTTATATGTGCACACATGATGCACTTCTAAATAAACAAACAGTACCATGATAGGCTCATCTTTTTTGGAACTCATGTATTCTACAAATATTTACTAAAGTTAAAAAAGTGCAAGGTATTCTGTCAGATATTATAAAGGAAGAGAGATGAATTTTCCTTGAACACTTGGAGTCTAGGAGGAAAAGAAAGATATATAATATAATATTGGTAATACTGCTCCTGCATGCCAAACACACTACTATGTTATTTCTGCTCTTCTCAAAACCCAGCACAAAACAGCATTATAATCTCCATTTTGCAGGTTAGGAAATTGCCCAAGGTCACACTGCTAATAAGTTAGCAGAGCTGTGTGAACAGTCTAGAGAATAAGAAGGTAAATGTTATTTTCACTATAGCACATAATATTAAAAATAACCAATTTCAAATAGTAAGTGCTAAGTTCTATAAAAATTTTATAGCAAAAATTCATATACTTTAAGAATTAACTTGTAAATATTTATTCTTATAATATGCACATCCTATTAGCCTTAATGAAAATTCACTTTCCAATCATCAGGCATTTATTTTGTTCACTCCATCAAATACTTTAGTTTTGCAAGAAGCATTTTTATATGTGCATTCGCTTTTGAAATCCATGAAGATGATTAAGTTTTTTCTAAAACCAACACCAGAACCTGGAATGCCCAATAATTGCTGAATGAATGAATGAATGAATGGGTGGTGAATTAGCACAAAAAAGTAATTCTTTCCCTAATATTTTTAGTGCAGGTTAACATTTTATGTTGGTACATGAGATAGATGGAATAGGAAAAAATGACAGTGTCAAAATTCAAGGCAATAACAAAATCAATTCATTGTGGGAATGGTAGCAGAAATCAACAGATCATTTTGGTCAGTTATTATCAGAGGGAAGCTTAATAATTTTGTTTAACATAGTGCTTACAGAGTTTTACCAGTGGTGTGAGAACCAGTTATCCTAAGGGCTAATTCCAACTCTGCACACAGTAACATCATGTTGGTAGCTTGACAAAGAACATGGTTGGAGTATTTATATCTTGAAAATTGCCAAATACTAGTCATGACTTTTTCCTGAGAGCAGACATGTTGCACATCACTGGCTTCTACTCATGCTTAGTGGCTGGCAGAATTCAGAGGTGATAAATATCTGCAATTCTTGGAGGAGTTCCTCTCAACAAAATGTTGCCCTGTAATTATCTGAGCTGAGACCCCTGACTGTTTGCTTAAAAGGAAATTTAATTTTTGCCTGGTTTTGAAATTTAATGAATTTTCTGAAAATGTAACTGTCATGTAAACTGATGAACCACTGAACTTTGCATAATCATCATTTTATAAAAATCTCTTTACTGAGGGAAATGGCTTTTATGCTGTTTGAGTCGTACAACTGGTATTAGTTTTTGTTGCTGCCATGTCATTCAATTTGATTCTGTTGAGGTGTAAGCACCTGGTGACTTCAGCTATGTCTTCAATGTGGTTGCGCCAGAGCATTTATATACTCAAGTATACATCATTTTATCATAAAAATTGCTCATTTCTCTTTTATATTATACTCAATGCTTTTAATTGATTTTTTGAAGCCAAGAGTATAGGTGGCTATATTATCTGTGAACTGCATTTTAACATATTAAAAGAGCACTGACGCAGTTCAGCCTTTTCATTTCCAGAAGAGAGAGTGTGACCTGATGAGGTAAAGTGACCTGACCAAGGTCACATAACTCACTGACATTTCAGTTTTTTAATTTATCTATTTTCCATTAACTTTCAGTAACCAATATTATGTGTTAGCTTTATCTGGAATAACACATGCATAGTATTTGTGAAAATACACACGTAGTCCTCTTGACTTTATTTCTAACAGAAGCCTCTGCTAGATTTGAGCAATATAGCTTCATCTAAATCATGCCGCATTCTTATGTTCAATGACAGGGATTTATTTATTAGGTAATGAGCCCAGAAATTATGCTGCTACTTTTACACCTTTATTCTTTTTATGGCACCCGAGAAATACATCCCATATTTCATATTTCTAAGCATTTGGGGAGCCACTTGCTTTGATTGAAATTGCTGGTTCATGCTACCACCTAGACAAAAGCCACTGACCTGAATGCCAGAGCTAATGTGACTGTTGCATACTAAGCTGACTTTTAGCTTCAAACTTTACTAATGTGTTTACACTGAAAAAGAATGAAATGAAAACCTATTTTCAATTTGCTATGTCAGCTAAAGAAAGTAAAAAAAAAAATGTGTGGTAGATGCTTAAGGCAGAGGAAATGAGGACTATTGCTGGAAATTTAGCACTGCACAATAGAGAAAAACATGGCTTTATATTCTAGGTCCCCATGGATAGCTGCCTATGAATATCATAGCAATGCTGTTCTAAGCAAGGTAATTCTTCTCATACCAGTTTTTCTCTTGCTCAAGGTCATGTCTAAGAGTAGAATGAAATCAGCATAATGCTTTAAAATATACGTCCAGTGAATTCAGGTTAAATTCTAAAACGTCAGGTTGATTCTTTTTGTAAGCTTGGTTCCAGATTTTAGCTTGTGCAATGAGAAAATGTTGCCTGAATATTTTTCTGTACTTGAATTGGCATACTTTAAAGTTCAAAATGGGAGGCAGGTAAATTTAAGTTCTAGAATTTAAAAGGTTTAACATTATAATCTGTTTTCTGTCTCTGTATGTTTGAAAATCTTTAGGATATAGCCAACATATTATTCTCAATATGGTGCTTTATTTTCCATTTATGTAACAGATAAAGTGGGTCTTTGATTCACTTGGCTGCGACACTCATTTCATCTATTTATGCAATTGCACGTTCATATGTACGAAAGCCAGCTCAGATTTTTCTTCCTCCAAAGTCCTCCTTCAAGGACTTCTCAGAGCCTTAAGTAAAGGCTAACATAAAATATAAATCTCCAAATGAAAAATATTACTGGCACTGTTCCCAAATTTATTTTTCCTCAATGCAACTTTATTCTAGGAGCATCTGAAAAAATGTACTTCTATTTGGCAAACTTTTAAAATGCTGCTCTTTTACATGATTTACTTTTTGTTGTTGTTAGTTTCCGATACACCAAGGCCTAGCTTCCCTATCACAATCTGCCTGTTCAGGGAAGGGACAATCCTCTTTATTTATCTGGCACAGTTAATTTAAAAAAAGCTGCTCAACCTTTACAATGTGACTGTATATTTAGAGATAACTAATTACAGAAGTCTCTTTGATTAATATATTTATGTGTGTGATCATTATTGTAGATGTTGTTTTTTAAAAGCACACAGAGAAACCAACATGCAAAAGAAAGGAAAAATATTGTCTGCTTGTTTGCTTCATGAATGTGATCATTTAGATTATTTTTCGTTATCACACTTTTCCCCATCGTGCCATGTTTTCAGACAGACCCTTTTATCATGGAGAGAAAAGCAACGGCCCATAAAAAGAGTGTTTTGAAAGCTAGCACTATGACATTACCAAGTTTTTCTATTATTATTTTTTCTTTCACCACGTGACCTTATGTTGTTCGGTAACTAAGAAGGTCTTCTAATGTTTAAAATTATACTGATGCATGTGTGTGTGTGCGCGCGCGTGTGCATGCACCTGCACGTGCACATGTGCACGTAGTTGTGTTTTTCAAAATCAAACGTAATATAGGAATTCAAAACATAGAAATGCACCTTAGTAAACTGAGATTACCCTTTCTGGACTTCCTAAATTGAAGTAGAATTTAAACTACCAGTGGATACACATGCAAGTCTGAGATTAGCTTTAGGATTCCTAGTCTTACTATTATGATATATACTGCCTACAAAGGAAAAAATAATCAGTAGTAATTATTAATATGTTCAGTGGAGATTAGACCTTGAGAATGATTTTCAGAACTGAGGCATAATGTGAAAGTCTTCACCATGGATGCTCATAGCTAAACACCAAATAGTTGGTCTAGGCTCCCTACATCCCTCCTGTTTAAGGTCAGGATTGTTCCTGGGTCTTTCAGTTATGAGGTTCACAAACCCTGAGAGATAAGTAGCCAAGACAGAGCTAGAACCCAGATCTTTTAAGTCTTACTCTTGTATCCTTTGAGAATTGCTCTTCCAAAAATAGGAGGGTTTCTGTAACTTTGAACCAGCTTCTCCGATACCTAAATATTTGGTCTCTATTATATCTTATCTCATTTTAGTTAACAATGTTTCTAATGAGCTATGAGCCTCAGTTTCTCATGTATAAAATTCATAAAATAATACTTGTATATAGACTATTAAATATGTATACACATGTATAACATTTATTCAGAATAATAGAATTAGCTTACCTTACTGAAGATACACTTTAGACATAGAATTATAATAGTTCTTGTATTGAATATTTACAGGCACAGTTCAGGTACTATACTGAAAATATATACTCAGTACATTTTTGAATTTATTTTGTTTTTATGTATGAGTTGATTAAACATTTTAAAACAATTGGAACAAACTTAGTGAGATTTGAATGCTTTAGAGTTCTAATTCTCTAGTGAACAAACAAAGGGAAGCTTAATTGGAAAGTAAATGATTTTGTGACATTTTCAGTTTATATACATACAAAATGACAAATCAAAAAATACTCACATTTTAAAATTTTGTCTTACCCAAAATGGAAAATACAGGACTTATATTGTTATTTGGGGTAAATAGTTAAAAATCCTGAAAAGGAACTTTTTTTTTTTCATTGCTTTCTTTATATGCCAGCATACCTCATGCACACACAACTTGCAGCTTCTTTTTGTTCTCACACATAATTTGATATTATAAGTAGGGAGGATTTAAATGAGGATTTAGAAATGAATGGAAACCTCAATGGAAGCAACTGCATGTTGAAATAATTCTAGGTTCTACAAAAAGAAAGGAGAATATTGGCAACATAGTTGAAGGAAATGAACTTTAAGAAGTAGATTCCAACAGGATTAGTCTACTACTGTGAAATGGAAGAAGTAAATAAAACAAACAGAAAAAATAATTAAGTAGAAAAAGAACTTACAAGACCTGAATTCTTCTGAATTCCAGACAAAAGAGTAGGCAACAATAATGATAAAATGTATACATCTAGAATGGTACTGAGGACAGAAGGACAATTTGGAATAATATAATACTCTGAAGTTTAACATGGTCACTAAGAAGTATATAGAAGTAGAAAAATATGGAAATGACAAAATCAAGACTTCTCAATTAAAGATGTAATATGTTGAGTTAGGTGCACTACTCGCTGAGGACAAGGTGTATGTCTTCCTTATGTTTACACTTCTAGTCTGCTTGTGCTCAGCACTGCACTTGCCATGTAGCAGGTATTCATTCAATGCCCTTTTATTTAACCCAGTTTGGTAATCCAGGAAGCTCATTGTATTAGTCCATTCTCAAACTGCTATGAAGACATTTCTGAGACTGTGTAATTTTTTTTTTTTTTTTTTGAGACAGAGTCTTGTTCTGTCACCCAGACTGGAGTTCTGTGGAGCGATTTTGGCTCACTGCAACCTCCGCCTGCCGGGTTCAAGTGATTCTCCTGCCTTAGCCTCCCAAATAACTGGGATTACAGGCACTCTCCTGGCTAATTTTTGTGTTTTTAGTAGAGATGGGTTTTCACCATGTTGGCCAGGCTGGTCTCGAACTCCTGACCTCAGGTGGTCAGCCCACCTCAACTTCCCAAAGTGCTGGGATTACAGGAGTGGCCACGACGCCTGGCTGATACTGTGTAATTTCTAAAGAAAAGAAGTTTAATCAGCTCATGATTTCACAGGCTGTAAAGGAAGCATGGCAGCATCTGGTCATATTCTGGGGACACCTTAGGAAACTTTCATTCGTGGTGGAAGGTGAATGGGAAGCCCGCACTACACATCGCCAGAGAAGGAGGAAGTAAAGAAAGGGCAAGGTACCACACACTTTTAAACACCCAGATTTCATAAGAACTCTATCACAGGAACAGTACCAAAGGGAGAAATCTGCCCCCATGGCCAAATCACCTCCCACCAGGACCCATCTCTAACATTGGGGATTACAATTGAAAATGAGATTTGGTTGGTACATGTATCCAAAACATGTTACTCTTATTTGGGGAATGTAAGAAAGAACTAATGATAGATGATGATAGGAGCTAAAGATTTTTAGGTCTTCCGCAAAAAAAAAAAAAAAAATGAACACTTACCAAGTAATCTCAAATAGATGAGCTTTAATGAGAAAATGCCACATTGATTTTGCACTTTGAAGGAATGTATAACACTTAAATATTTGTTGGATGTAATTTATACGGTACCTACTGAAAATGAGGAAACTGAGGCTCAGTAAAATTGAACATTATACCATTAATGTGATCTGAGATATGGTTACCCTCAGGGACTATATACCACACCATGTCACCATGTTGTATTCATATTTAGTCTTCTTCTCTCTAGGAAGTGATCTCATTTTTGTCATTCTTCACTCATTGGATGAGTCCTCATTCACACACATCACACACACCTCCAACTATCTGACAATTCTTAGTCTTAGAAAATTCTCTGAACTCTGTGATTCCCAAGTGATGCAGAGTCAAACTGATGTTATTAAATGACAAAGGGACTGAGGGCTATTTAAGTTTTAAAAATCTAAATCTTAGCCTGAGGCCTTTACAGAAAAAGAAAAGAAATCCCCAAGAATTTTAAGGCATTTTTTGGTATTATTTTTGTGATTTCCATTTTTGAAGGGCTAAGATTCACAGTTTAGGTTACAGGTAAGTCATTTCATAAATAAATATGTAGTAGCTTAAAAAAGATGATGCCCGTGATGTTTCTTAAAATCCTAGTGGTCATGTTTAAAATGTAACATGACACTTGATACCCTGCATAATCTATATGACTATATGTACTTGAGAAGAAATACTAATGTAATCTAGTAACTCTTTATTCTCTTAATGAGGTATGCTATTCCATAGCTCTTTAGCTTTTTGGTAGGGTAAAACTCAAAGAGACAACCCACATAACATTAAAAAGAACTCATTAAATAAAATGCAACATTTTGAGATGCATAATTTTCAAATGGAACCACTGTGTATTACAGTGAGATAATTAAATATTTTATGTTTTACCTGAACTTCCAGAATAAGACATTGATATATACATTTACAGTATATAGAGCCACTGATTTTACCATGCATAGAAGTGGATGGAATATCAAAATGCTTTGTTCCAGTACTTTGTGATTATAATGAAGACTTATGGTTTTTTAAATTTTGACAACTTTTAGGCAACAGTAAATATGAACACATAGATTATATTTTTTGTTTGTAGAGTATTTATTAACTATATAAGCAACATCTGTGAAGTATAGAATAATTTCCATCTACAAAAGGAAAATGTTGTAATACATATTTAGTTTATAATAGTATGTTAAGAACCATCAACTTATTCTTTTAATTCCATATTCCACAGATGTTCATTAGACACCTACCATTAAATGTTAACAAAATTTCTTCATGGGTGAATTGAATACACTTAGAGGCAACCCATTTTTTAAAAAAGTATGAGTATAATCTGGATTCCTGTGAGTATAAATGTAGCTCATATTTATTAATGATTGTTTACTCTAAAAATATTCAGACTGGTTTGGCAGGCTCTCTGTCTGAGGCTTGAAGAGCTTGCTCTGGGATCCTTGTTTTCTCAGCCTCTCTAATTGAGGGCACCTTCACAGTTTCAGGGTACTTTACAGCACGGAGAAGAACCTAAAAACAAAACGAAAACATGATGGGTCATAACTATGAGGAAATAAAAAGAACTGTATAAATTGCAAAGTCTGAAAATCAAAAATGTAATACTTGAACTAAATTCATTTTAAGATAATATTAATGTGGAAAGGAATGCATCTGATTGATATAAAAAGTGTAAGAACACTTGCAGTTTAATGTTAAGCAGTTACATTGCAAAGACTAGTCTCAAATTTTAGAACTTCATTGAAAAATCAGTCATAAATTGTTTCTCCATAAACAATTAAAAACCAGTTTTCTGATTCTGGTTAATTGTTTCTTTTTCATTAAATTTGTTAAATGGGGATCACTAAAAGTAAGGTCTCACAAGATAGTGTGCATATTGCTTTACATTTTAAACTTCCATATGGCAGATCTTTCCCCTGTGAACTTGAAAGGATAGATAGTATCATTTTATTTTATAAATGATGACATCCACAGAGGCTAAGTGATTAGCTGTGTCATTCCAACAAATAGTAGACTGGAAATCTAAATCAGTATTTCTTTGAAGGGAAATATATACATCTACACCTGTGTGTGTGTGTGTGTGTGTGTGTGTGTGTGTGTACACGCATTTCTTATGTCACAGGACTAACACAATGAAATGTTATTTTAAGAATTGAAACTTAGTGTGAGAAGTATTATGTGCAAATGTATAAAACATTGTCACACATTATACAATCGATCCCAGATTGTGTCCCTTAGTTGCCTGTAGCATTGACATTTAACTTGTCTAAAACTAACTTTATCATCTATAAAATGCAACTAATAATATCTGCCTTATCTCAGAGATAGATAAATTCTATGTGTCAGTGCCTGGGAGGATTACATTTGTTTTAGCTAATCATTCATTTATGCATCTATTCATGCAACAAACATTTATTAAGTGCATTCAATGTACAAGCATTAGTGAAGATGTTGGAGATAAATTAATGGACTTATACTGCATGAAGAAGAAATGTATAAATCATAAACAATAGTACAAACACAAATAATACCATCGTTAATAACATCAGACAATTATAAACATGTTGCATTGGTTGGAGAGGAAGCTGAGGATTGCTGCAGTAGTCTATGCATGAAGTGAGAAGGGCCTCTACTGGAAAGATGCTGCTAGGAATGGAGAAGACTTCATATTTATGAGTAATGCATTTTAAGTAAGAGAGATAAGGTTTCTCTCTCTCCAGTAGAAAGGAATAGAGAAAAAAAGAGCTGAGGAAAGTCAGTTATGATGTAAAACCTAAGATAAAGGCAAAATAGTAATAAGAACACTAAGGGGTGGGCAGTATTAGAGGAACAGTGACAATTTCAGTTTTGATCAGGTTGATTTTGAGGTGACTGATACATTCAAGATGAAAGAAAATTCAAAATTGGAATTTAGATGAAAGGGTAGTGCATGTATTCAGAGTTAGCAGTACTTCGGTATGAGGAAAAACTAAGTTTCTGATTAAATGTTAAAAGACCAAAGTCAGAGCTTAAAACCATACTGATACTAGAATGCAGAATGGGCAAAGCAAAAATGAAAAAAAAAAAAAGTAGTAATATCCCAGAAAACTGTGAAGGAAAGAATAGAAACTTTGTGAACATTAAAATTAGCACAACAGCCAAAAATGAATACTGAAGAGAAACTATCTTAATTTAATAATAAGCAGATACTTTGTGACATTTGATAGAGTAGTTTCAGAAAACTTGTGGGAAGTACAATGGGTTACAGAAGGAACGGTTGGAGAGGAGGTAGAGAAAGCAGATGTTGCACTGCAAAATGGTGTGAAGTAGCTGTAAGACAGAGCTATTCAAATGATGAATTAGTAAAATCCATGATGGCTGAAGAGAAGAGATGGAAACTAATGGAGAATATAGGAGTTTCCAGAGGAAGACGTTCTCTTAAGATCGAATGAAGCAGATTTTAAAAGCTCAGCTACAGTAGATGACTCTTAAGAATCTAAAGGAAAAGATGAAGGGTTATGTCTTAGCAAATAGGGAGTTGAAGTTTTGGGGAGCAACAAAGAATGTCCAGACGAAGGGAAGGCAAAGTTCAACATTATAACTAATAAAAGTTGGATTGGATGACTTGGGGACTTAGAATAACAAGCAAAGCAAGTCTCTTAATTCTTCCCTTTGGAATTATATAGACTGAACTGACCCATCTCAGGCATAGCTGAACAATTCCAGTCTTCTCTCTCAGTCACCTTTGGTTGCTCCAATGATTTTGCCAAAGGTAGATCAGAATGTGTGTTTTGGTGAGCAGATTTGCTCACATAAGTGAAACAATGAAATGGGGGCAAGCAAGAGGCAGGCTGCAACATACCTACTTGCTTATTTCTTTGATATCACCTATAGGATGAGTCATTCTTCTTTTTGGTGGGTGGGGAGCAAGGCTAAGAGGCCATAATTTTTCTCCTTCGAAATTCTTTCCCTTTATGGAACTTAGAATAGGGTGATTACCAATTATAGCTTAATATCTAAGACGGACCTAACTTTGTTCCCAGAATGCACCTGCATTGGGTAATCTGTGTAAAACACAACACATCATATAATTCTTTATATGAAATTTTTATAATGTGTTTTGAATTTTTTTGGTGGTATAATCTGTCTTTGATAGCATAGGAAAGGATAATTCATATAAAAGCTGAAGAATGATGGTTTAATGTGTTGAACAGAATATACCATGAGCAAAAGCTTGTTGATTTGGGTAAGTCTCTACCTTGTTTCTTTAGGAGAATGTCATTTATGACTCCTCCTGCATTTGTATACCTTCGTAATTCTCAGTAACATAGAAATTTGATTTATAGGTATTTTTATAATGTATATATTTTACATAAAATATTTTGATGCATCTCACTTATTTTTTAATTGCATAAATTATATTGACCACTTACATCTATTATTAATGACATACCTCCCCAACTTCCCAAATCCTTATCATTAACTTTTCTTTTTTTTTATTTTTAGACAGTCTCTCTCTGTCGCCCAGGCTGGAGTGCAGTGGTGCAATCTCGGCTCACTGCAACTTCTGCATCTGGGTTCAAGCAATTCTCCTGCCTCAGCCTCCCAAGTAGCTGGGACTACAGGCATGTGCTACCATGCCTAACTAATTTTCTGTATTTTTAGTAGAGACGGGCTTTTGCCACGTTAGCCAGAGTGGTCTTGATCTCCTGACCTCATGATCCACCTGCCTTGGCCTCCCAAAGTGCTGGGATTACAGGCGTGAGCCACCGTGCCCAGCCTATCATTAACATTTTTATTTATCTCAGAATCATAGTATCAGGATATCTTGAAGGATTTGGCCAAATATATTTCAGCAACATATTCAACAACATTATGTTAAACATGAAAAACATGAAAATCACATAGGTATGTATATATTGAGAGACTAAAGGGAGCAGAAAAGCAAGGTACTGATAATACAGAAGGGCTGTTGTTCCTAGAATGGAAATAGCTGAGATTGCAAAGGGGCAATTAGAAAGATGTCATGGTGTTAACATAACTTTATATACGTATACACATGCTGTGTTCATTTATGAGCGGCAGTAAACCTATAGTGATGCCGTCTATAAGAAAGAAACAGAGAAATCGAGTAATATGATTTAGAAAATAACAAAGAATCTGTTATAAAGTAATAATTATCACATGAAATCTGACTTTCATATTTTCTCAAGCACTTTGAAATGTACAAGGTTCTGTTCCGAGTATAAAGCTTGCTGAAGACCATTTTTTTCAAATTTATAGACAAAATGTAAAAACAATTTGATAAGTTCTCATTTCAGAAAGTTTATGTCAGTGACATGAAAACATATCAGTAAATGCATTGTTAACAACTTAATCGAGTAATTTGCCTGTCATCATGACTCCTGGGTAATGTCAAGCTGTTTACAGCTAATGTAATTTTTGGTAGAAAAAAATCTATCCATTGGACATTTTTCATTTCACCTTATGGGAAATATTTTATTATAGTAGACAAGTTTCCAAAAAGAGATTATTATGAAAGTAGTTATTCTAGCAGTAACTTCTCAGATAAATGATCTGTATAAATATTTTTCTCAATCTCTGAATAGAATCCCAATCAGGAGTATTGGTATTACATGTAATCCAACTTCTAGCTCTATCGTTATGTATTTGTGTCATGTCAGACATTATTTTTTACTGGTTGGCCCTCAATTTTCTCACCTTTTGTCCTTAGCTTTGAACCAATCAAGTTATGGTAATTGTGTTTATTGCTCGTCAGTAAAGGCAACTATAATAAGATATTTTGCATAAGGTTAGAATGTATTACAGTTGTTTAATAAAATTAACTGATTAAAATGCAGGGAATATTTTTCAAAAAGAGAAGGATGATTTTCAGGGTGGGATCCAGTCGTGAGAGTTGCATGAGTTTGCAGGCAGAAGTACCATAAAATATTAAATAAAAGAGGTTCTTGAATGCCAAGTCGAGGAGTGTGAATATATTTAATATCTGTAGGGTATGGAAGGCAGTTTCCCTCACTGAGTGAATATAAAAGGCCATATTAACCCATGAGAGTTATCCGCAGTTAGCATTTGTGTTGAAGTAAAGTTGCACTAAATGTATGTAGGGTTATAGGAGAATGATTTAGATCATATGAAACTGTGAAGGGAGAAGAACATACCAGGATGAAAGAAGTAATTTAAGAGTCAAAGCTACAGATATTTCAAGTAATATGTAGGAGAAAAAGAAGCTTAACTTCAATTTCATTAAGGATAGTGAAAATCCATCTCAGTAGTGTTCAGGATGATAACAGATTGCAAAAGAAATGGAAGGAAGAGATGGTGAGAAAAATGAAGGCAGCTGGCATACATCATATCTTCTAGGGGTCTGGCAATGAAGAAAAATAGAGAAAAACTTCCTAAAATATTGGGATGAAATTTACTTAATTGCATTTTGGCATGTTCTCGAGGCTTTTTAACTTCTCGTCTGTGGTTTGTCAGAAGTAAAGACAGCTTTTCACATTTCCTGTCTTTTCAAATTTGGCTTCCAAGCCATGTTGAGGATGGAGTTATCTTCAAATTTCAGGGGTGTGATGTTGCGTATTGGACCACAGATGCTCCTCAATTCTGTGAGGATTTTTCATTATTTTGATTTCTTTTTTCCTATAAAAGTTTGCATTTCACCCTTCTCATTTTTCCCTCAGTTGTTAGAGGCTGCCTCAGTGAGCTCTAAATTCTCTGGCAGATGGTACTCAGGGATGACTTTGAGAGAATTCCTAGATTTCAAAGACATATACCTTTTCCCTGCCTCCTTGAATAATTTATGTTCTTTGGCTTCTCTTACCCATGACAATGGGCCCTGAAGGAGACCCAAATCTAATCTGAGATGTAATCTCCAGGGAAAACTGAACCACTGGGGAAAGCTCAGTTGTGGACAACCTGTGTCCTAAGGTGAGAAGGAGGGCCACTAGCATAAAAACAACTTGAACAGAACTTCCTTCACAAGCCAATAAATTCTAATAACAAAAGGCAAAGGAAAAAGTTCCCTATAGAAGCTAAGGATTTTCCAAAGCCTAATGCTCATTTTTTATATCCTTCTTTGTATGGTCAAAGGTTGATTCTTCCTTTACCAGACACAAAAAAGGGCTTAATTAAAAATTTGAAATCAAATTTTAGAGATATAAACTATAAATAAATACATTTGCCTTTCAAATTTTTAGAACATTATCCTAGTTAATTCAAATTTTTTTATTTGAGATGAAAGGCGATTTAAGCTAATTTTCATTGGATCATTTATTATTATTATTATTTTGCAGTGTATTAGTTAACTACTGTTATATAACAAATTACCCCAAAACTTAATGGCTCACAGCATCAAAAATATATTAGCTCATAGTTTTTGTGGGTTAGGAATCTGGGTGCTGTATGTCTAGTGCTCAGGGTCCTTCACAAGATTGCCATCAAGTTGTCGACTGGGGATGTAGTCATCTGAAGGCTCACGTGAGTGAGTATCAAATTCCAAGCTCACTCACTTTGTTCAAGTTTTTGACATCTGCTGGCTGGAGACCACTTGTTTGCCTTGTGGGCCTCTCCACAGAGTAGTTTACAACATGGCAACAGCCTCTCTAGTTAGTATGAGCAAGCCCCAGAAGCACATTTGCCATATTCTAATTATTAGATACAAATCAATAGGCTCGAGGTGAGGGGATTACACAAGGACAAGGATACTGGGAGGTGGAATCATGGGAAACCGTTTTACATGCTGCCTACCACTCACGTAATATCCTAGTATAATAAAATCATCAGCTCTTACTAATAAGGACATTTTACCTTTTAGTTTTCATTCATAAAACATCTATTGCCCAACAGAGAAAACGATGCTGAATTTTAATTTTATAAGGAGAAACCACAAAATAAAAGACTTGTAGAAGTGTTCTCTTTTGCCCCTTCTTGGTTTTTGTTTGCAAAAAATTATGGAAAATTTTCAGCAGTAAAAGATTAAAATATTAACAAAATTATATATAGCTTTTACTATTTTTTAAATGCAAAAATTCATTTGTTTCCTACACAAGTAACCAGATTTTCAAATTCTACTATAGACACTTGTAAACACAAACATTCATATTTAAAATGTATTAAATAAAATATTTTAAATTTTCAAAATTTTAATTTTATAATGATTTGATATTTTATTCTTAAGCTAGTAATGACATTGGCTTTTTTGATCAGGAAACAGGAAATAAGAGATATTAAAGACATGGAAAATTATGCATGGATCTACAAATACAACATAAATTTAACTTCTCAGTATATCCTAACACATATATTTTTTCTTCTAAAATGGAAATAAATTGCAACCAAATAAAACCTTATATTTCTGTATTAGATATTTTAATACTTTACTGCAGAAATATATATAATATATACCTTATATTTGTGTATTAGATATTTTAATACTTCACTGCATATATATATATGGTTATATATATATATATAACCAAACTGTCGATTTCATATACTTCTAGTGAACAGAAATGTGTATTTATATATGGCATTATAAATTTATAGAAGGGCCTTGG